>NT_167247.2:398830-486005 GCF_000001405.40 Homo sapiens | reverse complement strand
GGCCATTCTGACTGGTGTGAGATGTTATCTCATTCTGGTTTTGATTTGCATTTCTCTAATAATCAGTGATGCTCCTTATAGATTCTGGATATTAGACCTTTGTCAGATGGATAGATTGCAAAAATTTTCTCCCATTTTATAGGATGCCTGAGTTCAACCATTGTGAAAGACAGTGTGGCAATTCCTCAAAGACCTAGAACCAGAAATACCATTTGACCCAGCAATCCCATTACTGGGTTTATACCCAAAGGAATATAAATCATTTTATTATAAAGATACATGCACACATATGTACTTTGCAGCACTATTCACAATAGCAAAGGCATGGAATCAACCCCAATGCCTATCAATGATAGACTGGATAAAGAAAATGTGGTACATATACACCACTGAATACTACACAGCCATGAAAAGGAACAAGATCACATCCTTTGCAGAGACATGGATGGAGCTGGAAGCCATCATTCTCAGCAAACTAACACACGAACAGAAGACCAAACACTGCATGTTCTCACTTATAAGTGGGAGCTGAACAATGAAAACACATGGACACAGGGAGGGGAACCACACACACTGGGACCTGTCGGGGATAGGTGGGAAGAGCATCAGGATAAATAGCTAATGCATGTGGGGCTTAATACCTACGTGGTGGGTTAATAGGTGCAGCAAACCACCATGACATACATTTACCTATGTAACAAACCTGCACGTCCTGCAAATGCATCCCGGAACTTAATATTAAATTAAATTTAAAAAAAAGAAATTAGAGGCTGGGCGTGGTGGCTCATGCCTGTAATCCCAGCACTTTGGGAGGCTGAGGAGGGTAGATCATGAGGTCAGGAGTTCAAGACCAGCCTGGCCAAGATGGTGAAATCCCGTCTCTACTAAAACTACAAAAATTAGCCAGGTGCAGTGGCAGGCACCTCTAATCCCAGCTACTCAGGAGGCTGAGGCAGGAGAATTGCTTGAACCCAGGCAGCAGAGGTTACAGTGAGCTGAGATGGCACCACTGCACTCCAGCCTGACCGACAGAGTGAGATTCCATCTAAAAAAAAAAAAATTAGATCTCCAGAAACAACTCAGTTAGGTCACCTTAGGTGGCTCATGATCTCTTGTGCTGCTACCAATTCTGTCAACTGCTCTTGATCTTAACTACAGACCCAACTCTGCAAATTGCTGGAGAGAAAAGCCTCCTGTCTTCCCAGGATCATTCAAATTTTCTATAATTTAGATACAAATCCAACCCCCAGAGAGCTGGTTCACAAGATCCATAAAGAAATGCAAACTAATTTTTAAAAGAAAAATATATAATCCATTGCTTATTGTAATCTGTAATAGCTAAAATGAAATTAAAAGAGAATGCCAAAGCAGACCTTAATGCTAGAATAAGCTCAGATTTTGATGAGTGTGAACTCAGACCACTAACCTCAAAACCACCCCTCAAGAGAAAAATTATGTTGGGAACAAGATAAATTATCTCTACAACGTCTGATCCAAGAGGGCAGTTAACATGAGAGAAGGTATATTAGTCCATTCTCATGCTGCTAATAAAGACGTACCTGAGACTGGGTAATTTATAAAGGAAAGAAGTTTAATTGACTCACAGTTCCGCAAGGCTGGGGAGGCTTCAGGAAACTTACAATTATGGCAGAAAGGGAAGCAAACATATCCTTCTTCAGATGGCAGCAGAAGAGAGAAAAAGGGCAAAAGGGGAAAAACTCTTTATAAAATCATCAGATCTTGTGAGAACTCACTCACTATCATGAGAACAGCAGCATGGGGAGTAACCACTCCTATGATTCAACCTCTCACTAGGTCCCTACCAAGACACATGGGGATTATGGGAACTATAATTCAAGATTAGATTTAGGTGGAGACAAGGCCAAACCCTATCATTCTGTGCCTGGCCCCTCCCAAGTCTCATGTCCTCACATTTCAAAACACAATTATGCCCTTCCAACAAGTCCCTCAAAGCCTTAACTAATTCCAGCATTAACTCAAAGTCCAAGTCCAAAGTCTCATCTGAGACAAGGCAAGTCCCTTCTGGTTATAAGCCTGTAAAATCAAAAGCAAGTTAGTTACTTCCTAGATACAATGGGAGTACAGCATTGGGTAAATACACCCATTCCAGATGGGAGAAATTGGCCAAAACAAAGGTGTTGCAGGACCCATGCATGTCCGAAATCCAGCAGGGCAGTCAATTCTTAAAGCTCATAAATGATCTCTTTTGACTCCATGTCTCAAATCTAGGTCAAGCTGATGCAAGAGGTGGGCTCCCATGGCCTTGGGCAACTCCATCCTTGTGGCTTTGCTCCCCTCCTGGCTGCTTTCACAGGCTGGCATTGAGTGTCTCCAGCTTTTCCAGGCACACAGTGCAAGCTGTCAGTGGGTCTATCATTCTGGAGTCTGGAGGATGGTGACCCTCTTCTCACAGCTCCACCAGGCAGTGCCCCAGTGGGTACTCTGTGTAAGGGCTCCAACACCACATTTTTCTTCTGCACTGCCCTAGCAGAGATTCTCCATGAGGGCTCTTGCCAACCCAGCAAACTTCTTCCTGGACATCCAGGCACATCAATACATCCTCTGAAATCTAGGCGGAGGTTCTCAAAGCTCAGTTCTTGTCTTCTGCACACCCACAGGACCAACACCATGTGGAAGCTGCCAATGCTTGGGGCTTGCACTCTCTGAAGCGGTCTGTACCTTGGCCTCTTTTAGCCAAGGATGGAGCTGAAGCAGATAAGACACCGGGCACCATGTCCCAAGGCTGCATAGAGCAGGGGGGCTCTGGGCTTGGCCCAGGAAACTGTTTCTCCCTCCTAGGCCTCTGGGCCTGTGATGGGAGGGGCTGCTGTGAAGACCTCTGACATGCCCTGGAGACATTTTCCCCATTGTCTTGGTGATTAACATTTGGCTCCTTCTTACTTATGCAAATTTCTGCAGCCTGCTTGAATTTCTCCTCAGAAAATGGGTTTTTATTTTCTATCACATTGTCACTGTCTCTGAACAGGAGTGAACTGAGGGGGAAGCACTTGCTAGACCAGTGTTGTTAGCTGCAATCTGAAGCAACACAGTGGCTGAACCTAATATTCCTTCCAAAATTGAAAAAGTTTGGTTGTAAATGGAGAAGACAAATAATAGCTAAGAGTAAAGCAATAAACAAATGGGTTTTGTAATGAGGCAAATCTAATATTATATCAATACTGTGAAAGAGTCTAAGAGCAAGAGATGATATTGTTATAAGTTCCACGATGTTGATTATTTTATATGTTTTATCTACTATTACATAACTACCATCTGAAACATAATAGGTATATAATAGGAAAGCCATAAATATCTATAAAGTGAAAGAATAATTGGGTCTGATAAAAAGATAACCATTTTGTTACAATAAGGCCTCAGAATGAAGAAAAACACAGAAGTCTATTCCTATAACTGGGGGCCCAGAATATCAAGGCTCAAACTGAGAAACTTGCACACACACTCATCATAGTATCAGCACCAGAGAGCAGTAAATGTGGACTTTGGCATGGCAAACACTTTGCATTGGATAGTGAAAGTCACATTACAGGTCAACAGTGGTCATGCTGAGACAGAGAGACAGAAGCAATTAAAACCAAGACCTGCCATATTACAGTATAGGGGTACATATAAGTTGATCAAGAAGTTTCTGTCTCAAAACTTTAGAAATCTTGTTGGGACTGAAAGCACTGGTGGAGCTTGTAGGAAAATAGAACAAAAAAAGAACGAAATAGAAAGGCATGAAACGTACTACTTAGTATTTTATTTTGCAAGTAATGTGTTTCTTGTGTCTTCTCCTCCTCCCCCATTCAATTGCATTGTGTCCTTTTCAAGACAATAGCTATTAAATATATTAATTTTTATACCATACTGTGTCTAAATCCACAATATGAAGAATTTAAGGGCCCAATTGATTGATGAAGGAAACTGAAATCTCAACCTGAACAGAATGCAGCTCTTTCTCTCCTACTTTTGGCTTAGGAGGTGTATCTCCAGCTTTTTGTGATGAGGTTGTTCTCTATTCTTAGGTTAAGCAAAGGTAAACATATGTTAACCTTGTTAGTTATTCTGGGAATCCCAGGTCCTCCTCCCCAATCTTATTAGTGCTCCCTTTACCTCCTTGTTCCTTAGAGTGTAGATGAGGGGATTAAGAGTTGGGGTTACTACAGTGTAGAAAAGAGTGAGAAATTTGCCCCATTCATGAGGATAGTGATTTTTTGGTTGAAGGTAGACACCTGTGACAGTGCCATAAAAGAGAGAAACCACAAGAAGGTGAGAGATGCAGGTGCCAAATGCTTTCTTCTGTCCTGCAGTTGACTTAATTCTCAGCACAGCCTTAGCAATAGCACCAGAAGAGGAAAGGATAATGATCAAGGGCATCACCAGGAGGACAACACTGGCGATAGACATCTGAATTTCACTGTAGGTAGTATCAGTACTGGAGAGCTGAATCAGAGCTGGGACTTCACAAACAACATCATCCACCATCCGCTGGGAGCAGAAGGGTAACCGGAGGGTGGCAGGGGACTGGATCAGAGACTGGGCCAAGCCAGTCCCCCATGCCAAGATAGCCAGCTGCAGACAAAGTTTTGGGTGCATGATCATGGTATTTTGCAGTGGATGACACACTGCTACATAACAATCCACAGCCATGACAACAAGAAGGACACATTCCGTGGCCCCAAGCCACAAAAAAACAT
Organism: Homo sapiens; assembly: GCF_000001405.40. Lineage (NCBI taxonomy): Eukaryota > Metazoa > Chordata > Mammalia > Primates > Hominidae > Homo > Homo sapiens. The sequence goes on along the minus strand of NT_167247.2, from coordinate 481,287 downwards.
AGAGTTGAATGGCACAGCCAATGTAGCTGATGGTCTTTTCTGGGCCCCAGAAGTTAATCAACATCTGTGGAACACAGCTGCTGGTCAAACAGAGGTCTACCAAGGAAAGGTTGGAAAGAAAGAAATACATAGGGATGTGGAGTTTTGGATCCTTCAAGGACACAAGAACTATGACCATATTTCCTGCAAGAGTCAAAAAATAAAAAATAAAAATGATCCAAAAAGTATCTTCTCCAAATGTGGCTTGTTAGAGAAGCCCAGAAGGATGAAATCACTGTGGCTGTCATTGCAAATTATAATCATAGCTACTGGGGCAAATGCCTCTCTGGGGAACGGTTCAAAAGTAGTTCCTCAAAAGCCTGTGATGGTTCCAGTACAGACAGGAAGACGGGTGGTATATGACTTGTTTGATTCCTTTCTACTCAAGGATAAGATTTTCACCAGCTGTATTTTGGGAAAAAATACAAGATTTAGTGAAGTGCTTTAATCTTTGATATTCATCATTCACTCTCTCTCTTCCTCTTTTACATCTTCCTCATATTTTGTCTCTGATTAAAATTGTTCATTATAAATATTATATAAAATACATGTAAGCACCTGCTAGTGAAAATCACTTTGCTAAATATTAGATGTGTTTCATCTGTGCTCTCAAAGAGTATACATTTACCACATTTATTACATAGTTCTAATCACTGCCTATTAGCTTTATAACTTTCTCTATTTCTTTTGTTCTCTTATTTCTCTGTGACCTTGTATCTTGATTTATTTCACTCTCTGTCTCCCATGTTTCTCTCTTTTCCTTCCCCTCTTCTCTCCCTGGATCTTCTCCCTTTATCTTCTCTTTTTTCTCTCTCATTCTCCTCTTCTCCATTCCTCCTTTTCACTCTGTCTGTTATTGATGAGCTTGAATTCTCCCTCAGCCACCTTCATGCTGTGTGATGTTAGGAAAAGTAGTTAACATTTTTGTTCTTACTTTAGTTCTTTCCTTAGATTTTGTATTTGGAAAACGAGCAAAATTAAAAACCTACATATGCTTGTTGGAGAGATTAAATGTGCAAATGTGGGAAATACTAAAAAGTGTTCTTGGCACAAAGTAACTGTTCAATGTAAGTTAGCAATAATTATCATGATGATGAAACTGTTCAATGGATTGTTCCAGAAACCAAAATTTATTACCAAAGTTTTGCAGAGCATGAGTAAAAATAACATCTAGAAAAAAGAAACATTATATTTCTACATGACCTTCTTTGATGAAGAATGATAAAGTACATTAAAGAAAACCAAAAGCTTGAAATTAGATGAAAATATTTAAAATCATTAACAATAATAACTGTGTCAAATAGATCACTCAAGCCATAATTCTAAGAAAAATTATGACATAATCTGATATTTACTATTACATCAACATACATTGTGGTGAATTCTCAATCACACTTTAATGCAGTTTGAGCAACATGATGGTATATCATGCAATTACATATGTAAAGTTTTTACATCAATATATGCTTTTGCTTTTACAAAGCTTGCTGGAGGTTATTTTCTGAATATCCTAGCCCTGTTGTCTCCTATCTACCAACCATATTCTTACCCACCTATGATAAATCACATTTAACTTTATCAACACACTAGAAGCAAATTCATTTGAAGTTCTCTCAATCAGTAATTCTCATGCTTAAAGGGTATTAATCTACTGGTAAACCCTCAAGTACAATGTCACAGGGCATTAAGATGCACTGACCCTCATGGCTTAAATTTCACCATAATTTTACTCATGTTTGTCTTTACTATGCTGTGCATTCTAGAAAATCTATATATTCTCTGTTTTGTGTGTGTGTTATTTTTCCTTTATTTTATTTAGAATTTTTCAAATTAGTGATGAAATGTTACCACTTTGGTTGTGAATTTGAGTTTGATATTATATTAAAGTAGAAGAGTAGTTTGATGTTTTAAAGAATCTCAGTCTTGTAGATTTTTCCATGTTCAGAATCAACCTGCCTCTTACCCCACCCTTCGGTTTTCATCCACTTCATAACCACTAACTACTGGTTTCGTTTTTTGTCTATTCAGATTGCTTTTCCTTTCCCCATTTTCTTTCTTGTATATTATCACCTGCAGGTCTCTATCTAGCTATTTTTATATATGTATGCATCCATATGTCTTATCTCTTCCAGTTCCTTTTAAATTACTAATCATTGAAGTAGATGCTTTTTTTTTTTCCCCCTGGATCAACTATTTGTAAAAGGTCCTTGGTTAGGGGAGACAGTCTTAGACTAGATGGTTTTTACTATGCAAAATTCAAGAATACTCTTAATCTCTGCTTCTCTTGAGATTATCTTCTTCCTGCAAATATAGTTTTCCCTGTGATTTTATTTTAGTTGGCCTCCTCTGCTTTTCAGAACACTATCTGGGGGAGTTCATGGTAAAAGCCAGCACACCTCCATTCCTATGGTTGTAAATGTAAAATACAGCATTTCTATCTCACCTTCTAAAGTAGATGCCTCTAGTACCAGTGTATCACATCTCTTCAGCCCAGCTCTAATTTCAGCAGAGCTGCAAGGGACAGTTGTGTGTGAACTCAGATTATCTCACACATACTGACAGTGACCTACCTCAAGTATGCTGTATAGGGCTTCCCTTGGCCCCAAGGCTTGTCTGACACCATGGGAGCCCATTTGGCATATAGACAAGTGCTGCCTAGAAGTACAAAATGCTTAATGACCCTAGGGGAAATCCTCCAACAATGAAGAATTTTAACTAGGAATAAATGGTCCAGCAGCTCTCCCTTCAGGCAAAAACATCCTGTGTGCTTTTCAGAAGGCCTTTAGAGAACTGAGCTCTCATTACACACAACCTGGCTAATGCATCCCTAAATTAACTTTCTTTCTTAAATGTTTCACTCTTCTTGTTCCCTGTATACATATAATACATATGTATTATATATTATACATGTATTTTATATATTACATATATAATGTATATATTTTATATATAGATATATATATAGAGAGAGAGATGAGAATGGAGTTTCCCAGGAAGCCGACTCAGGGATGGAGATCAGCATTTAGAAAGTTTACTAGGGAACATTTTTTGGATCAACATCTTTCAAAGGAAAGGGTGGGTAGCATGATTGAGGAAAGGAAGTAATGCAAACTACCTACTTTGGAAGTTTGTAATGCAAACTACTAAAGTTTCACTGAACCCTGTAGGAAGTTCTCAATATGAGATGACAATTCATTGATGTTCTGAGCTGAGGCCAACGGCAAGCCTTAAATCTCCTTGTTGGTCAGTGTTGAATGCAGATTACATGGAAAAGGGCCATATGTTTAGATGAAGCAACTCTGTTTAGCTGAGGCAACCCAGAAAGAAGGATCTCAGCTGAGCTCTATCTACCTGTAGCACATCTAGCAGCTGAAGTAATAATGCCTTCATTCTGAAAGTGTTATCTGAGTAAAGCATTATAACTTCCAACACTGTCTATTCCTTTAATTTCAGATCTACTCCTTTGTATAAGATCTGGTGTGGGGTGGGGGAGGGGGCAGGGATAGCATTAGGAGATATACCTAATGTAAATGACGAGTTAATGGGTGCAGCACACCAACATGGCACATGTATACACATGTAACAAACCTGCACGTTGTGCACATGTACCCTAGAACTTAAAGTATAAAAAAATTAATTAATTAATTGATTAAAAAAGATCTGGGAAAAGCTCTTACAGGGCTATAGTGGGCCTCTGTATCTGGAGGAAACTTAGAAGAGGACCACCACTGCGGCTGGTCTTAAGTCCTACAAACTATGGTCACCATCTCCTTCTTACTATTCATTCTGTGTTGCTCTCACCCTTATCTGGCACCTCTCCTGCTCTCAGTGGTTTACCTGGTGTCATGATCCGGAAGTGTCTGAGCCCCTGATCACTATGGCTTTTTTTAGTTAATCTCATTGCCTTTGGTCATTTACCATCATAATTAAACAAAGTATACACTTCCTAGTGTACCTTTTGTACCCCCTAGTGGGAATATTTCCCTTTAGAGAGCTAGAACCTCTAAACTCACAGAGCTTATAATTGTGGAGAAAAAAAACACAAATTTCTCAAATGAGTTACTGGTAGGGATTCTAAGAAGGGCTTTCACCTTTTGGTTTCTAAACCATGCATTCTTCCTAGTGAGGACACAGCACCATAGAAAGATAATTGATTTAAAGTACTGGGTCTTGAAGGATGACATTTCATCTGAGCTGGAATTTCAGGTGTAGCTTCAACAGATCCCTCCATGACTCTAATAGATCACTTATGATAGTGCAATATGTGATATGGCCAATGGATTCCATGGTCATAAGTCCACTCCTACACTTTCTTTGCCATTAAGTCGGCCCTTTTTTCTGATACAATGGTATGTGGGATCTCCTGCTGCTGCGTCAAACATCCTATAAGCCTTTAGACAGTCATGCTGGCTGAGAACTTATGTTCAGGAATAGAAACCCATGCCTGGAGTATGTGTATCTATTCCTACCAAAAAAAATTGCTACATTCAAAGTAGAAAAAGTCCAGTGTCATCAACTTGACATTAAATAACTGGTTGATCTTTTGATGGGAAACTATTTTATCCAGTCATTGCATGGGACACTTATTGATGGAAGACTGGATGTTTGACCAGTGGCTATAATGCATGCTGTTAAACCCATGCATTGCTTCTATCCCTACTATCATGGTGACTTCATTCATAAGCTCATTGCTCTAGCATTGCAGGTAGGATAATGAGGGCAAATGTCAGAAGCTCTTGACAATAACTGCTCGCCAAGTCACATTTTCTACCTAGTTGCTTAATTCATTTTCTATGATGGATTCCATCTTGTAGTTTTAGCATGTAATACAAATAATGCAACACTTCATACCTTCACTCTTATATGTTTATGCATGTGCCTCTGTTCCAGACTTCTTTTTTCCAAGTGTTTCTATCTTTTTCTTTCCAGCCACCTGAAAAGCCTCCTAAGCCATTTATCACTACCTATGAGTTATACATATTCTAACTTCAAACTACTTCTCTTTCCACACAAAGTGAATGACTGGGTACCATCTGAAACTCTGTCCATTGGGAGGCGTTTTCCTCACTACTATTTTTCAAGATCACCGTAAGCGAGGCTATAATTTATCTTCATCCTTTTTGACTTGGACTCACATAGCAAGCTGACCCATTAATGAACCAAGCTTGACATTTTTCTCCTCCATTAGAGTTGGAAGTGTTCTCTCTTGGAGGCGTAAGTGTGGTCTGAAGAAGAGATATTGATGCAAAAGTGGTGAATAGCATGAAGTCCTGGGCTACTTGCTCATACTGTTTGCCTCTGCCCTCTAGTCATGCTGTGGTCAATCCTGGATGTACTAATGCCGTGTTACAGTGATTGCTCTGTATCCACTCAACCTAATAACTTGATGGTTCAGACAGTCCCCAGCTCATATGGGTAGTTTTGCCTGCATGGTTATTTGTTGTTCCATGGTCAGATGTTATTTCTCTACCCAGAATTCAGTAAAACACCAGGGCTTTATTTTTGAAATGTATACAATCCTGTGCTGTAGATAGCAGAGTTTTATCAAAACCCTAAGAATTTTGTTATGATCTTCCCATAAACTTGCCATAAATTCCACCTCATTTATGGTGAAATTTAGACTTGCTATAGAGCCCATTCTTACCCTGAAGGCCATTCAAATACAGCACCTAGTGGATGAATTAGAACAGTACTCGATAGTGTCAAATATGCTTACTACAAAGTACAGAGAGGTCTGCCAGGCACTTTGCTTCTTTTTTATGATAGGAAATGCATAATGCAAAAATGTATCCTTTACTTTAGATAGAATGTCTCATAGTGCCCCAGACCAATAAACACTTAAAACTTTTATGCTTTAGGTCCCTGAATCTTTATGGAGTGCAACACTCACTCTCTGGATCACATGTGTCTTATCAAGGCTTTTAATGTATTGACCACTTCTTGTTCATATTGTCTGATACGCATGATGTGTTAGATATAGTTGGCCAGTGTGACGGCCTACAGAATATACAGCTAGTCCCGTTCTCTTCAGTATTTTATGATGGAAGATGAAAAACCTAGCATAGCTCTGGGACATGGTATAGTATTGTCAGCTCCAAGTGAGTGCAAACTCCCTGATCATGTTTCCTGATAAGGATGAAAAAGAAAACATTTACCAGATCAATGTATGCATACAGGGTACTCAGTAACATGCTAATATACTCTATCAAGGATAACATATCTCTTCCAGCAGATTCAATTGGGGCTACTACTTATTTCAATCTGTGGTAATTTGCTACTGTCATCCCAATATCTGTCTGATTTATTTCAGGGGTCTGACTGCTAATGCAAATGAAGATATGACAGGAAGTACCACTATTGTATACCTTAGGATTTAAAGGGGAATAGGGAAAATAAAAGCAACTTTACAACCCTGAGGATAATTTAGGATTCAACATTAAAATTGAAAAGATATAAGGAAAATCAAAAGAGGAGGCATATATATATATATATATACACACACACATATGTATATCTCTTCAATGATGTTTGTGAGATTTATGCTTTTATAAGTTGTCTAAAATTACTTTTCTATTATAATTCAAGTCCAAACAATTCTATTCCTTTTAAAAGCAATTCGAAATATGTATTTGTTATATACTAACACTTCTAAAAATTTTTTTTCTTGAGACAGGGTCTTGCTTTGTTGCCCCAGCTGCAGTGCACTGGCACAATCTTGGCTCACTGTGACCTCCACCTCCCAGGCTCAAGCAATCCTCCCACCTCAGTCTTCAGAGTAGCTGACACTATAGGTATGCACCACCATGCCTGGCTAATTTTTTTTTTTTGCATTTTTAGTAGAAACAGGAGTTCATCATGTCACCCAGGCTGGTCTCAAACTCCTGAATTCAAGTAATCCTCCCACTTCAGCCTCCCAAAGTGCTAGGATTACAGTGTAAGCCACCTCACCCAGCCTATACTAATACTTTTAATTCACTGACGTCATTTCTGATAAACAGTCTAAAAGAGATCACATATGGAAAGCACTTTATTCTGAATGATCTATAGTATAAGGTGACAAATTCAGAAAATATATTTAATTGTAGAAGAATGAGAAAGTATATATATGTACATATATAATGTATATATGAATTATTAATTTAAAAAAGAATGTTACATAGCTTCAAAAACTGCATATCAAGAAAATTTTATAAATTAGAAAATGATTGTTTTACATATGTCAGTTTACAATTTATAAAAATACATGATATGGCCGGGAGGTGGCTCACACTACAGGTGAGGTCCCAGCACTTTGGGAGGCCAAGGCAGGCAGATCATCTGAGGTCGGGAGTTCGAGACCAGCCTGACCAAGATGGAGAAACCCCGTCTCTACTAAAAATACAAAATTAGCCAGGCATGGTGGTGGGTGCCTGTAATCCCAGCTACTCAGGAGGCTGAGGCAGGAGAATTGCTTTAACCCAGGAGGCGGAGGTTGCAGTGAGCCGAGATCGTGCCATTACACTCCAGCGTGTGCGAAAAGAGCAAGACTCCATCTCAAAACAAAAAAATGATACACAAAAGAAAAGTAAGAGGAAACAAATACATTAAAATACGAGCATGTGGCCAGGTGCCATGGCTCACACCTGTAATCCCAGCACTTTGAGAGGCCAAGGCAGGTGGATGGCCTGAACCCAGGAGTTGGAGACCAGCCTGGGCAATGTATTAAAACACCATCTCTACAAAAGATACAAAAATTAGCTGGGCTTGGTGGCGTGCACCTGTGGTACCAGCTACTCAGGCAGCTGAGGCGGGAGGATGACCTCAGCCTGGGAAGTCGAGGCTGCAGTGACCTGTGATCGCACCACTGCACTCCAGCCTGGGCCATGGGAGTGAGATCCTGTCTTAAAAACAAAACAAAACAAAACAAAACAAACAAACAATATATATCCAGGCTATATCCAGGCTGATACTAGATATTTAATTTAATTATAATTTTCTTTATTTCACTGAAAATCTTTGGTGAGCACTTATTAAGTTATACATTGCATAAATCTTCTTATTTTCAAAAACTATTCCAGTTGCAATCTCATTATTTCTACTTGTTCTGCTCCAGTGAATTAATGCTAACCTTAAACTTCAGTGTGTTAATTTATGTTAAATGACATCATATGATATAAATAATATTTTAACCACAGATCTTTGGGAGATTTAGTCCAAGCATATTCATCACAAAAAAATCAGTAAACAATAGAAATACCATTTTCCTATATACACCATCAAAAGACTCCCTATTTGACCCTGAGACCAAGTCCTACAAAACAGAATCCAAACTCCTAAGTATGGTTTGCAAAATTCCACCCAACTCCACTGCCTAGTCCCTGCCTAACCATGAACATTCTCACAATATGCTGCTAAGTGAAAAAGCAGGCTATAAAGCAATATGTACATCTTATGCTAAATGAATAAGCCAGACCTAAAAGGGCAAAAATTGTATGTTTCCAATAATATGAAATATCTGGAACATGCAAATTCATACAGACATAAGGTAGGTTGAAAGTTACTAGGGGATGGGGGAGGGGAATGGAGAGTTATCACTAAGGGTTAGAGTTTCTGTTTGGGATGACGAAAAAGTTTAGAAAATAGTGGCAAGATTTACACAATAGTATGAATATAATTAACACCATTAAATTGTACACTTAAAAATAGTTAAAATGGCAAATTTTATGTTATATATTACCACAATGTTATAAATTAGTAATGAAATATACCAAAAATCATTGACTTGTACACTTTAAATGGGTGAACTGTATTGTAAATAAATTATATCTCAATACAGCTATAAAATTTAAAAATGAAAAATAAAGAAATTTGTGGCTGTATGTTTATTTAGCCTTATGCTCTTCAAATTAATACATTCCAAACCTATTTTTCATAGTTCATGTTTTATAACTCTAATCTTCACCCTAGTTTTAGAATTTGTGAACTACCTATGTGTCAGTATTATGCCACCAGTGCAATTGGGAATAGAGTTAACTTATTGCCTCTGGGGACACAATGACCAATTAAACTTGAGGGACTCAGAATCCCTAAGGTTAAAATAAAGGACACAACATTGTGAGAATAGTAGGACTTTAATAAATACTGGCTGGTTTTATTAAAAGCCACAACCTTCTCTCTGTGACAGTGCAAATGTTACTAATGTCTATAAAATCAGCTTCTCATTGTGGAAATCCATTAGGAACCTGGCAAGGACAGCCCATGTCAGTCAAAAATATCCCGGTGACTGAAGACATTATCTGTAACACACTTTTACCTCATCTTAAGATTTTTACTTATATGTTCTTAAGGCAGTGCAAGATACATGATAATTTTATTCTCAATCTGTGGGCAAAAGGTAGTTGAGTCAGAATGGCAAAAGAGTTGAAAGCTCAAAACATCATTGCATGTATCAGTCTTTGCACCAGACTTCCTTGAAACACAACACAAAGAAAGGCATGGATATCTCTAGGACACTTAGAATAAAGGCGAGTGGTGTCTACCACAGAGAATTATGTTACCATGATTGGGAAGGGTCTTTCAAGATCATCTAACCTACATCATTACCTCTGGGTTGCATCATGTTAAGTAATCAGAATGTCCAATTTGTTTCCAGGGAACCTTGAAATAAATATCAAGTATTTTTAGTGATTCCAAAAATCCTTCTTATCCTTTGAAACTTTTGAATGAAAATTTGCTTATTATATCTCCACACATAAAAAAGTCAGTGGGAATTTTTTAATTGAAAAAGAATCAGTGGTATTTGAGGTTTCTTTTGATATATGCAGGATGCATAAATAAGAAAAGGTTTAAGATAACAGTGGAATCACCATTCTCTTGTCAAGGGATAAGTTTATTTACTGATAATGCAAAAAAAAAAAAAAAAAAAAGAATTGATAAATGAACTGGCACCAGTGCCATATAAAAGGTGAAGAGGAGTAGAGGCTGTGAAAATAATAGAATAAGAAGGAAGAGCTGCTGAGTCAATTACTGTTATCAGCTATGCCCTTCAGATAACCAAATATCTCCTACTATTGACTTGACTTTCACTTATGAGGAAACTATGTTCTCTGCACTATGCTAGAAACAAAGAAGTGACATATACATTTAATCATTTCATATCATAATATTATAAAATTACAATAAGCACTGGGATTACCAATAATAAATTATATCTCTGCTTTTTCATACACATGACAAGCTGAAATAATGACTCAATATTATGAGTAATGATTATTACTAATGATTAATGCTAATCATACTATTAATGATAACTGGCTTACATTCATTAGATCCTTCCTATGTTTCAGGCACTGTCCAAAATCTAGATGTGTATGCACTGGCTCATTGAAGTCTCACAATAATTCCCTTTTTTATAAAACAGGTTTTAAAAACAGCATGGTACTGGTACCAAAACAAATATATAGACCAATGGAACAGAACAGAGGCCTCAGAAATAACACCACACATCTACAACCATCTGATCTTCCATGAACCTGAAAAAAACAAGCAATGTGGAAAAGATTCCCTATTTAATAAATGGTGTTGGGAAAACTGGCTAGCCACATGCAGAAAACAGAAACTGGACCACTTCCTTACACTTTATACAAAAATTAACTCAAGATGGATTAAAGACTTAAACATAAAACCTAAAACCATAAAAGATTTAGAAGAAAACCTAGGCAATACCATTCAGGACATAGGCATGGACAAAGACTTCATGACTAAAACACCAAAAGCAATAGCAACAAAAGCCAAAATAGACAAATGGGATCTAATTAAACTAAAGAGCTTCTGCACAGCAAAAGAAACTATCATCAGAGTGAACAGGCAACCTACAGAATGGGAGAAAATTTTTGCAATCCATCCGACAAAGGGCTAATATCCAGAGTCTACAAAGAACTTAAACAAATTTACAAGAAAAAAACAACCCCATCAAAAAGTGGGCAAATGATATGAACAGACACTTCTCAAAAGAAGACATTTATGTAGCCAACAAACATGAAAAAAGCTCATCATCACTCATCATTAGAGAAACGCAAATCAAAACCACAATGAGATTCCATCATACGCCAGTTAGAATGGTGACCATTAAAAAGTCAGGAAACAACAGATGCTGGAGAGGATGTGGAGAAATAGGAATGCTTTTACATTGTTGGTGGGAGTGTAATTAATTCAACCATTGTGGAAGACAGGGTGGCAATTCCACAAGGATCTAGAACCAGATCCAGAAATATCATTTGACCCAGCAATCCCATTACTGGGTTTATACCCAAAGGATTATAAATCATTCTACTATAAACATGCATGTACATGTATGTTTACTGTGGCATTCCACAATGGTTGAATTAATTTACACTCCCACAAGGATCTAGAACCAGAAATATCAGCAAGCATGCCTGGCTGTGTGCAGTATCCAGGCTGGTAATGTAAGCTGAGCACAGGCTGCCAGGCTGAGTGGGCCAGTGGGCCTGAGCAAAACCCCAGCATAAGTGCCACTAGCCACAGAGGTTTTCAGCTGGTGAAGTGATAACCCAAGGATCCCGTAACATAACCATTAGAAAACATTGGACAAACCATGATTGAAGTGCATTCTGTAAGATACCTGAGCAGTACTCAGAATTATCAACATCATGAAAAACAAGATAACAGAGATTCAGGAAACTGAAACACATGACAACTAAAGGCAATGGAGTGTCCTGGATGGGATTCTGCAACAAAAAAAGGATGTTAAAGAAAATCTTGCTGAAATCCAAAGATAGTCTAGAGTTTTGGTAGTAGTAACATACCAATGTTAGTTTCTGAATTTTGAAAAATGTACCAGAGAAATGTAACATTAAGTGAAAGTGAAACTGGTTGAGGTGTATATGGGAATTCTTTGCCATCTTTGCAACTTTTCTGTAAAGCTAAAATTATGACAAAATAAAGCATGTATAAAAAATGTGTTACACAGATGGGAAGGGACAAGATGTCCAATTAGTTGCAGCCAGGAAGCACTGCTTTCACCGAGAGAGACCAAATTATTGAGTTAATCAACATAAATTGGTTGATTTAATCATCTCAGCCCAAAATCTCCTTAAGCTGATAAGCAAATTCAGCAAAGTCTCAGGATACAAAGTCAATGTGTGATCTTAGGAGAGAAAACACTGAGTGTATGGAGAAGCAAAGCTGAAGCTGAGGCTGTAGAGTCAGAAATCTGGAAACCCTGAAGTGGTACCTGAATGCCAGGGCTAGTTCCCAGCCCCAGATGGCTCCTGGGAAATTGGTGAGCCAGGGAACTGAGGGACAGCTCACTCTTGTCATGTACCTCTGGGATCCTAGCTATGAGAGACCCCATATCCCCCATAAATGTGTTAGCTGGCAGGGGTATCTCCCTGGGGAACAGGCAGAGACAGTACTTCAGACAGTGCAGAGCCTGGGAGCTTTTGTGTGCTGGGCAGCTTTGGTGGAGGGTAGCCATAGACACACATCCCTGAGAGCTTCCCATCTCCCTCTGCAAGGCTCTTGACTCAGCTGACTGTCAAGCCAAAGGAGAGCAGGGCTGGCTTCCCTATGGGACTAAGACACATCTGTTCTGCAAGCCCTCCTGCCTGCAGGCTCCTCTCAGGTCCTATGCCTAGCTGCCCTGGAGAAGCAGGTGCATTGTGCAGCTTGCACAGCCCAGCTGAATGCCTTGCTTCACCTGAGTACTTTCCCAGCAACCCAGAAGCATATCAGATCCCACAGTGCAGCCAGAGCCCAACCCTGAGCTGCAGGATGTCCTGGTGCTACCTGGGTTTCTAAGCACAGCTTGGGATTATCAAGCCAAGATATGTGACCCACACTAAGTTAGGTGAGTTAGCTTAATAAAAAAAAAAAAAAAAGAAAGAAAAGAAAAAAATTCCATCCAATATCCCTGATGAACATAGAAGGAAAAATCCTTGAGAAAATACTAATCAAACAAATCCAGCAGCACATCAAAAAGTTAATACACCACAATCAAGAAGGCTCTATTTCTGGCATGCAAGATTGGTTGAACATCTGCAAATCTACAAATGTGATTCACCACATAAACAGAATTAAAAGGAAAAGCCATATGATCATCTCAATAGATGCTGAAAAAGCTTTTGGTAAAATCCAATATCTCCCAACATACTGCAGTATGTTTACTGTGGCAGGTGTGTATGAGGGAGCAAGTGTGGGGTCCAGCTACTGCACACAGCCAGGCATGCTTGCTGCAGCAGGGCAGGCAGTTCCAGGCACTGACAGGGGTGCCATCTCCCTGCAAGTCTGCGGCTGGACCAGGTGTACTGCAAGCAGCTTCCGCACCAGGAACCACAGAACCACCCAAAAGGGTGTCACAGCCCTGGCTCAGGGAGCTCCTAGGTCTGGGCTCCCCAAAGAGTTGCATCTCTTATCTCCTTTATGTCAACCACAATGAGGTGAGGAAAGGGCATGTTTCAGCCCTGTTTGTGTGACAGCTCTTTCAGCCATGCCATTCAGTGGGTCCCAAGTTCTTGTCCCACACTCACGAGGTATGTGGATAAGTGGAGGGTGAGTAAGGTGAAGAGGAGCTTTATTGAACAATAGAACAGCTGAGAGGAAACCCGCTCCTCTCCATAGCCAGGGTGTCCTAACGAGTGTTCAGCTCTCCGCAGAGAGGAGACCCTGGAGTGGGTAGCTCCTCTCCTCAGACAGGTCATCCCACAGAGTGTTCAGGTCTCAGCAGAAAAGAGACCCTAGGGTAGGTAATTCCTCTCTGCAGCTGGTTGTCCTGACATCTTTTTGTGTCTGGCTGAGTCTGGGAATTTTTATGGACTTCAGAGGAAAGGAAGTGCTTGCTGATTGGTCCTTGGGCAGCCACGGGCAGGCTTGGAAAAAGCATCGTAAGTCCCCACTCCAGTCTGCGAGGCTGGCAGCCCGTCTCCCAGGCTTCAATCCTTCCCTGAGTTGAAGGTGGGGCCTCACCGGGGACCCGTCCCTTTCTGCCCAGGAGCCTGTGGGCCTCCTGCCACTGTTGACGGTGCCCAGGCTGTTCCTGCCAAGAGGCACCTGCAGGCCAGCGCCAAGCTGCCCTCAGCAGCACCCCCTCCAGCCTCCCTCCCTTGCTTACTGGTGCCCAAAGCCCAGAGGGGGCTGAGGTGGCAGAAGACTGGCATGTCAGTGCTGCCCCAAGTGTGGGCACACCAGGCCAGGTTGCAATAGCACCTGGGCCTGGCCTCAACCACGCTCCGAGATCAGAGCACGCACCAGGAGCAGGGAGAGATCAGACACCAGGAGCAGGCACCTCCAAGCCTGCGGGGGCAAAAAGGGCTTTCCCAGGCCCCCAAGAGTGCAGAGATGCCCGGGTCTGCCGCTGCAGCTTGGGCATCTGCAGCTGCGCCCAGGAGGGCAGGGCTCTTACTCCTGGCACCCAAGAACACAGGGATGCCCAGGTTTGTAGACACAGCTTGAGCAGCTGCAGCTGCACCAGGGAGGGTGGGGCTTCTGCCTGCTCCTGAACCCCAAGCGCACAGGGATGTCCTGTCCACAGCCGCTGCTGGGCAACTGCAGCTGAGCCTGGGGAGCACAAGGCTCTTGCCCTGTCAACTCATAAGGGGTTGGGGCTTCCGCCTGTTCCCGGCTCCAGGGGCTCCACGGAGCGCACAGCCACACCTGCATCTCCCCTACTACAGCCGGCATCACAGTCCAGATGGGTTTCAGCTGCCATCAATTACACTGGGCCTTTGAATTTTTGCAGAGGAGACCACAGAGGTAAAGTGCCCTTTTTATCCCATCAGAGCAGGGGTTACATAATATCTACATGGCATCACTGATGGTGCTGACTTTAATCACTTGGTTAAGGTAGTGTTTTCACTAAATAAAACTGAAACTTACAATTGTTACCTGTCCATACTCTATTCCTTGGAAGACAGTCACTGAGTCCAGCCTACACTTAACAAAGGAGATCATGAGCTCCACATCTGAAAGTGGGGACTATTAATAGACTAGTAAGGAAGATTTCTCCCTTCTTCTCATTTATGTATTTATTCAATCATTTATTTATAAGAGTATGGACTCATACGTTTTATACTTCAGGTTATAATCCAGTGATATGTTATTTATTTTGTTGTTGAAATTGCTCCAGCTTTACCCATTGAGAGCTCTTTCAAGTTAGCTGCTGGGTCCCTTGGACAGGTCTTCATCCTTTTGTTATCCTTTTCTCTTCAGGGCCCCTCCCTGATTTCTGGTATTACTGGTTCTTCTCCAGGCTTCTCTTATATATTTCTTCACCAGGCTTAGAAATATCTTATAATCAGACATTTCTCCAACGATCTCTGTTTCTTTTCACTGGAAAATGGCATTAGAAAACATTATCTGAGTGTGACATGTGCACATTGCTATGAGGGTAACATTGTTTCTAGGCTATTTCAGCAGAAAGGGCTAGGTAATGTGTGTCTACACAGTAAGCCCTGAATACACACATATCTGTCGTTGTTTCCTTATTTGTCCATCTGTGTGTGTCCATGTGCATTTGGGCTTGTGTTTAAACATGAGGTCATAGTGATAACTCTGACTCTAACACAGTCCCTAATGGTCATTCTGGCCTTCCTTTCTTGCTTCTCTGTAACTTCTCTTACCAACAGGGAGAAACCTGGATGCCACTGTTCATATTTTAATATTTTTGTTCAACTGGTATGCATGTGAAGCAATTACAGAATTAGCTGAACCCGCATGAGAAACAAATTTACTATTCAGAATACCATATTTATGCAAAGTTACTTTTGTCTACAGTCTGACATTTTTTAATCAAAACATTATTTCTCAAGGTAAGTTAGGCCACTTTTTACTTCTTCTCTACCCTTTTCAGTGTTGTTAGCTTACATATTTATATAAAGTGAGGTTGATTTGCCACTGTCATACCATTCTAGGATCTTCCCACATCTTGGTGATATTTTTGCTTGTTTATTTGCATGCATTTGAGTGCAATTTTGTGATACACTACTTAGGGATTAATAAATCATGGACTTGTGTATTACTAGTGCAGCACCATACAAAACAACTCCATCATTTAAAAATTCCCCTGTGTGTCTTCTTTGTAATAAACTAATCTCCCTTACACTAAGCCCTGGATACCACTGATGTGTTTCCATCCCAGTGGGTTTTTTTTCCCCAGATGTCTTATGAATGAAATCATACAATATTCAGACTTTGAAGTCTGGCTTCATTCATTTAGTAAAATACCCTTAACATATATTCATGTTGTTGCATGTATCAGTAGCTCATTCCATCCCATTGATCAATAGTATTCATTGATCAATCAACTTCCACAAAATCATAGATCATTGTGTGGAAATACCCAAGATTATCTTTCCCCTGTTGAAGGGCATGGGTTGCTTACAGTTTGGAGTAATTATGAATGAAACTGATATAAACATTTGCATGCAGATTTTTACACGGACCTAAGTTTTAATTCACTAGGGTAAATACTTAGGAATGTGATTGTTAAGTCATATGGCAAGACTATATTAAACTTTATAAAAATTGCCAAATAGTCAAAGTGGTTGCACCACTTTGCATTTCTACCAGCAATCAAAGAGAGTTTCCCTCACTTTGCATTCTTGCTAGTATTTATTATTTTCAGTGCTTTTGTTTCAGCAACAAAAAAAAATTGTGAGAATTTATTTTTAATTTTGTTATATAAGTACTTTCATAATACTCCAGTTTTGTGTCTTGGTTTACAAAGCCTTAATATTGACTACGTAGCTTTTTATAGGAAAAAATACTGGTATCTGGACTTTCATATAGATTTTCTTAAATCAGTGAGATTTCCATCAGTCAACTTAACTGTAAATCAACTATTACAAGGTTTTTTAAATGTGGGAAATCATGTCTTTGATAAGAACAGGTCAGTTTTTTCATTTTTTTCTCTAAGAATTTTTGTTTTGTGTGTGTGTGTATCTATCACTTAATGTGCATTTGAAAACTTTCTAATTAACTTTTTCTAATACAAATAATCTATGAAACTTTATTCCATTTTCTCAATACAGTTTAGAAATTACTTGAACATTTGGTTAAATGTTCTGAACCTTACTTTCAAATTACATTTTCTTACTAGACAAATGCTTAGACAGTGTGGCGATTCCTCAAGGATCTAGAACTAGAAATACCATTTGACCCAGCGATCCCATTACTGGGTATATACTCAAAGGATTATAAATCATTATACTATAAAGACACATGAACACGTATGTTTATTGTGGCACTCACAATAGCAAAGACTTGGAACCAACCCAAATGTCCATCAATAATACACTGGATAAAGAAAATGTGGCACATATACACAGTGGAATGCTATGCAGCCATAGAAAAGGATGAGTTCATGCCCTTTGCAGGGACATGGATGAAACTGGAAACCATCATTCTCAGCAAACTATCACAAGGACAGAAAACCAAACACTGCATGTTCTCATTTATAAGTGGGAGTTGAACAATGAGAACACTTGGACACAGGGTGGGGAACATCACACACCAGGGCCTGTCGGGGGGTGGGGGGCACTGGGGGAGGGATAGCATTAGGAGAAATACCTAATGTAAATGACGAGTTGATGGGTGCAGCAAATCAACATGGCACATGTATACCTATGTAACAAACCTGCACATTGTGCACATGTACCCCAGAACTTAAAGTATAATTTTAAAAAATGCTTAATTCATGCCGAATATGTTCAGTGTGATTTTTAAAGGCTTCAAGATTCAATGTTATTCATACAACCTAATTTCTATTTTATTTCTCTCTCCATGAAGAGTCTTGTAAGAGGCCAGGCACGGTGGCTCACACCTGTAATCCCAGCACTTTGGGAGGCCAAAGTGGGAGGGTCACTTGAGGTCAGGAGTTTGAGACCAGACTGGGCAACAGGGTGAAACACTGTCTCTACTAAAGATACAAGAATTAGCCAGAATTGGTGGTGCATGCTTGTAATCCCAGCTACTCGGGACGCTGAGGTAGGAGAATCACTTGAAACCGGGAGATGGAGGTTGCAATGAGCTGAGATTGCACCACTGCACTCCAGCCTGGGCGACAGAGCAAGACTCCATCACAAAAAAGAAAAAAAAAAGTATTTTAAGAAGCATAAACAAATCAATCACCTTTGACTGAACATTGATTGGTACTTGTTCTGATTTGATCCAATTCTAAGTCCCAGCATCCATTTTATCTTCTCCAAGTATAGTAGGGAATATTCATCAACTGTTTACTCAGTTATTTGATTTGATTTCTTATCACTTAACACTTAATCCAAGGATATAAATATCCTTTTGCCCAGTGGTAAACTTGTCATCCAATCCTTGAGTTTCTTTTGCAAACACGTTAGGTTTTTCTCAAGATTGAAATGCTCATCCAAACCCAATTTTTTTTTTTTTTTTTGCTGTCTTAAGTTGTTTTTTTTCCTCTTCTGACATAGTTTTAAGGCTATTTTGGCATTAGCTTCTCACTATTTAAAAGACTTCAACACATCTTCCAGTAACGGAACCCATATTCTAAACCTAGCCATGAATGTAATTCATTCTGAACTTTAAGGTGTTCTTTTTTTTTTAAAGATGACATATAAATGGCCAATAATCATATGAACAAATGCTAATCATAAGAGAACTGCAAATTAAAACCACAGTGAGATATTATGTTATGCCAGTCAAAATGGCCATTATTAAATTCAGAAAAAAAAAGTTTTGCCGAGGGTATAGAGAAAAGGATTACATACACTATTGGTGGGAATGTAAATTAGTACAACCTCTGTGGAAAACAGTATGGAGACTTTTCAAAGAACTAAAAATAGAGCTACCATTCGATCCAGCAATCCCATTACTGGATATCAAGCTAAAGGTAAAGAAATCATTATATCAAAAAGAAACCTATGTGTCTATGTATATCGCAGCACTATCCACAATAGCAAAGTAATAAAATCAGCCTGAGTGTCCATCAGTGGACTATTGGATTTCTAAAATGTGGTATACATATATACACACTTTAGAATACTACTTGGCCATAAAAAGACTGAAATCATGTCTTTTGCAGCAACGTGACTGTAACTGGAGGCCATTGGCTTAAGAGAACTCAGAAACAAAAAGCCAAATGCTACATATTATCAATTATAAGTGGGAGCTAAACAATGGGTACATGTGGATATAGAGTGAAATATAGGCATTGGAGACTCCAAAAGGTGGGAGGCTGGGAAAGGGTTGAGGGATGAAAGACTACCTACTGAGGACAATGTATTTTATTTGGATGATGGATACATTGAAAAATCAGACTTCACCACTATGCAATATATCCATGGAACACAACTGCACTTCTACATTGTAAATCTGTAAAAATTCGCATTTTTCAAAAACATTCCTTTTTTTCAAAGCATCTATTTTGAACTCAAATTTCCTATACACTTAGAGGATTTAATGCCTTGTTCTAAGGGCAGGACTCCATGAAAAATAATTTATACTCTTCATACTCGTTTTTTTTTTAAGAGACAAAGTTTCACTCCCATTGCCCAGGCTGTAGTACAATGGCGTGATCTCGGCTCACTGCAACCTCTGCCTCCCAGGTTCAAGGATTATCCTGCCTCAGCCTCCCAAGTAGCTGGGATTACAGGACCTGCCACCATGCCTGGCTAATTTTTTGTATTTTTAGTAGAGACGGAATTTCACCATGTTGGCCGGGCTGGTCTCAAACTCCTGACCTCAGGTGATCCACCCGCCTCAGCCTCCCAAAGCGCTGGGATTACAGGCATGAGCCACCACACCAAGCTCATATTCTTTTTTAATCAGCCTAATTTATTAAAACATTACATTTGTCTTCAACTACAGAAGAAACTTCTCTGGTAAACTCTTTTTTTTCTCTCTACATAAAGTGGGCTTTTATAATTACAAAATCCAAATAGAGCCACACTTACCACCATCCCCCATGTTAAGCCATAGAACTCTGATGTGAGTCTCATGTCTCCTTGCAACATTGACGTGGCCTCAATCAGCTTCTCCAGGACCTCTATAAAGTAACACCTCATAGCAGTAAGCAGGTCCTCCATAGCACCAGATCTGCCTTTGGTTGCCAAGACACTATGATTCTACAACAAACTGCAGAGAACACTAGCAGTGTTCTGCTTGGAACCTAAATCTGCACCTAGCAACCAGGACAGCACATCAGTGGGATGCCAATGTGGGAGGATAGATGGGGCTTTCTAAACATTTTCACTATTAGCACATGAAAAATGGGAAACTACAAGGCTCTTGTTGATCCAAGGAGACTGGCCACAGAGACTGTATTCCTTCTAGGCACTAACAAGCAACCCTAAAGTATGAGAGAATTAATGTCATTTCATACATGTGCAATTCAGGAATTACTAGGAACGTGGCAGTAAAGAACTTACATGCCCATATCAATAGTCAAAGTCCTCTTAATGTAAACGTGTCTTTCTGAGGCTCTGCTAGACCTAATGCTATTTAAAAATTCAAAGGTTCCTCACCTCAGCATCCCATCTTGTTTTGTTTTGGGTTAGATGAGGGGGATAAGCATGAGAGAGTTGAATTATTGTCATTAAGTTATCGATTTAACTTTCAAATGTAAAAACTCATGAAGGTTGAAGGTAATTTGGGGTTTAGGTTTTTTTAACTTTTATTTTAGGTTCATGGGTATATGTGCAGGTTTGTTATACAGGTAAACTGCGCATCACAGGGGTTTGGAGTACAGATAATTTCATCATCCAGGTAATAAGCATAGTACTCAATAGGTATTTTTTCTGATCTTCTTCCTCCTCCCACCCTCCACCGTCAAGTAGACCCCAGTGCATGTGGTTCACCTTCTAGTATCCATGTGTTCTTATGTTTAGCTCCCACTTATAAGTGAGAACATGTGGTATTTGGCTCTTTTCCATTTAGTTTGCTTAGGATGATGGCCTGCAGCTCCATCCATGGTGCTGCAAAGGAAATGACCTCATTCTTTTTATGACTGCATAGTATTCCATGGGGTCTATGTACCACATTTTCTTTACCCAATCTACTGTTGATGGGCATTTAGGTTGATTTCATGTATTTGCTGTTGTGAACAGTGCTGCAATGAACATACTCGTGCATATGTCTTTATGGTAGAATGATTTATATTCCTTTGGGTATATACCCGCTAATGGGATTGCTTGGTGGAAGAGTAGTTCTGTTTTAAGTTCTTGGAGGAATCATTACACCATTTTCCACAATAGCTAAGGTAATTTACATTCCCACCAGCAGTGTATAAGCATTCCTTTTCTCCATAACCTTGATGTATCTGTTATTAATAATTTGACTTTTTGATAATAGCCATTCCACCTGGTACGAGATGGTATCTCATTGCGGTTTTGATTTGCATTTCTCTAATGATTAATGATATTGAGCATTTTTTCATATGCTTGGCCGCATGTGTACCTTCTTTTGGAAAGTGTCTGTTCATGTCTTTTGCTGACTTTTAAACGGCATTGTTTCTTTCTTATAAATTTGTTTAAGTTCTTTCTAGATGCCAGATATTAGACCTTTGTCAAATGCATTGTATGCAGATATTTTCTCTCATTTTGTAGGTTGTCTGTTTCCACTGTTGATAGTTTCTCTTACTGTGAGACGTTCTTTAGTTTAATTAGGCTTCATTTGTCAATTTTTGTTTTTGTTGCAATTGCTTTTGGCATCTTCATGATGAAATGTTTCCCAAGTCCTATGTCCAGAATGGTATTTCCTAGGTTATCTTCCAGAGTTTTTATATTAATAGTTTTCATTTTAACATTTAAGTGTTTAATCCATCTTGAGTTGATTTTTGTATGTGGTGCAAAGTTGGCATCCAGTTTCAATCTTCTGCATAGAGCTAGTCACTTATCCCAGCACCCTTTATAAAATGGGGAGTCCTTTCCCCATTGCTTGTTTTGGTCAGCTTTGTTGAAGATCATATTTTTTTGTAGGTGTGTTGCACTATTTCTGGGTTCTCTATTTATTCTATTGGTCTATATATCTGTTTTTTTTTTTTTTTTTTCCAGTACCGTGCTGTTTTGGATACTGTAGCCCTCTAGTATAAGTTGGGTAAGGTGATGCCTCTAGCTTTTTCCTTTTTTCTTAGGATTGCCTTGGCTATTAGGGCTCTTTTTCGGTTCCATACAAATTTTAAAATAGTTTTTTTCTAATGCTGTGAACAATGTCATCGGTAGTTTGATAGGAATTGCACTGAATCTATAAATTGCTTTGGACCAGTGTGGCCATTTTAATGATACTGAATCTTAGTATCCATGAGCATGGGATGTTTTTCCATTTGTTTGTGGCACCTCTGATTTCTTTCAGCAGTTTTTTGTAATTCTCATTGTAGAGATGTTTTACGTTCTTGGTTAGCAGAATTTCTAGGTATTTTATTCTTCTTGTGGCAGTTGTGAATGGGATGGCATTCCTGATTTAGCCCTCAGATTGAATGTTGTTGATGTATGGGAATGCTAAATTTTTGTACATTGCTTTTGTATCCTGAAACTTTTCTGAAGTTGTTTATCAGATCAAGGAGCTTTTGGACCAAGACTATGGGGTTTTCTCATACGGATTCATGTCTTTTGCAACCAGGAATAGTATAACTTCCTCTCTTCTTACTTGGATGCCTTTCATTTCTTTCTCTTGCCTGATTGCTCTGGCCAGGACTTCCAGTACTATGTTGAATAGGTGTGGTGAGAGAGGGCATCCATGTCTTATGCCGGTTTTCAAGGGGAATGCTTCCAGCTTTTTCCATTCAGTATGATGTTGGCTGTGGGTTTTTTATAGATTGCTTTTATTATTTTGAAGTATATTCCTTCAATGCCTAGTTTATTGAGGGTTTTTAACATGAAGGGATGTTGAATTTTATTGAAAGCCTTCTCTGCATGTATTGAGATAATTATGTGGTTTTTGTTTTCATTTCTGTTTATGTGATGAATCACATGTATTGATTTGCATATGTTGAACCAACCTTTCCTCTCAGGGATAAAGCCTACTTGATCATGGTAGGCTTTATCCCTGGGACGCAAGGGGTCATGGTAGGCTTTTTCTCTGCGATGCAAATGCTCACACCCTAATCTGTGGAGCCTGTGATTATATGTTACTTTACATGGCAAAAGGACTTTTATAGATGTGATTAAATTCAGAATCTTGAGATGGGGATATTATCCTGGATTAGGCAGGTAGGCTAATATAATCACCTGTGTCCATATAAGAGGGAGGCTGGAGGTCAGAGAAAAGATACTCTGCTGCTGACTTTAAAGATAGAAGAATGGGCCATGAGCCAAGGAATATAGGTCACCTCTAGAAGATAGAAAACGTGAGGAAACAGCTATTTCATCAAAAAGCTAAGAAATTGGGTTTTTATATGCTGTTGGATTTGGTTTGCTAGTATTTTGTTGAGGAGAATCAAGGTAATTTGAAAGATCTTCAAATTTCAAGGATTTACACTCCTGCCAAATGACTCCCCAAACCCATAGCCAGTCACTGTTCTTCACCATTGCCCCACTCTCAAGCACAATACAAAAACTTTCCATTTCCTGAGAGGGTAAAGAAATGTGGTGTTATAACAAAAGAAATATTTGCCAACAATATTACCATCTCTTGGTGTTATCTACTCCATGCATTTCTAGTGAATTGTTCATTAGGAAACCCCATTGCTTTATTCAAAGTTTTTGTCATTTGACCTAAGATAAACAAAGTTATCTGTTCCTCCCAAAGAAAAGTGTCAGATATGTCAAGTTCATCTGAGTTTGCCAACAGTAAGAAAATATTTTAAGAAGTATGGAGACATATAAAAAAGACATATAAGCCACCCAGAAGGGATCCTCTCTAGCCAAAACACTGACCATTTCAGCATCAAAATAATGATAGAATGAAATAAGAATGCATAAGACCATATTAAGATATATGGATAGACACATAGATAAATAATACCTGATACACACACGTACACACACACACACACAGGAACAAAGGAAAGCTATTCCTTCATATAGAATGCCAACTCTATTAGTTTCCCATTGTTGCTAAAACAAATTACTACAAATTTGGTGTTTAAAATAACAAAAATATCTTATATATCTGGAGAAAGAAAGACTAAATTGGATCTACAGGGCTGCACATCTTCCGCAGGCTCTAGGACAGAACATGTTTCCTCAACTACTCCAGCTTCTAGAAGCAACCTGTATTCCGTGGCTCATGGCCCATTCCTCTATCTTTAAAGTCAGCAGCAGAATATCTTCTCTCTGACTAAGAATGTGGCAGGAAAGAACTTACATGCCCTCTCTCTTATATGGATATGTGTGATTATGTCAGCCCTCCTGGCTAATACAGGATAATAATCCCAACTCAAGGTTGAGAATTTAATCACATCTATAAAAACCCTTTTGCAGGCTGAAAATTCCAAAATCCAGAACGCCTCTTCTCCTCCAAAGGATCACAACTCCTCACGAGCAAGGGAACAAAACTGGATGGGGAATGAGTTTGACGAATTGACACAAGTAGGCTTCAGAAGGTGGGTAATAACAAACTCCTCCAAGCTAAAGGAGCATGTTTTAACCCAATGCAAGGAAGCTAAGAACCTTGAAGAAAAGATAGAAGACTTCCTAACTAAATTAATCAGTTTAGAGAAGAACATAAATGACCTGATGGAGCTGAAAAACAGCACGAGAACTTTGTGAAGCATACAAAGGTATCAATAGCCGAATTGATTAAGCAGAAGAAAGGATATCAGAGATTGAAATTCAACTTAATGAAATAAAGCGTGAAGACAAAATTAGAGAAAAAAGAATGAAAATGAATGAACAAAGCCTCCAAGAAATATGGGACTATGTGAAAAGACCAAACCTACGTTTGATTGGTGTACCTGAAAGTGATGGGGAGAATGGAACCAAGCTTGAAAACACTCTTCAGAATATAATCCAGGAGAATTTCCCCAACCTAGCAAGACAGGTCAACATTCAAATTCAGGAAATGCAGAGAAAAATACTAAGATATTCCTCAAGAACAGCAACCCCAAGACACATAATCATAATATTCACCAAGGTTGAAATGAAAGAAAAAAAATGTTAAGGGCAGCCAGAGAGAAAGGTCGCGTTACCCACAAAGGGAAGCCCATCAGACTAACAGCAGGTCTCTCAGCAAAAACCCTACAAGCGAGGGGAGAGTGAGAACGAATATTCAAAATTCTTAAAGAAAAGAATTTTCAGCCCAGAATTTCATATCCAGCCAAACTAAGCTTCATAAGTGAAGGAGAAACAAAATCCTTTACAGACAAGCAAATGCTGAGAGATTTCGTCACCACCAGTCCTGCCTTACGGGAGTTCCTGAAGGAAGTACTAAATATGGAAAAGAAAAATCAGTACCAGCCACTGCAAAAACATACCAAAGAATCAATATCATGAAAATGGCCATACTGCCCAAAGTAATTTATAGATTCAGTGCTATCCCAATCAAGCTACCACTGACTTTCTTCACAGAATTAGAAAAAAACTACTTTAAATATCACATGGAACCAAAACAGAGCCCGTATAACCAAGACAATCCTAAGCAAGAAGGAGAAAGTTGGAGGCATCATGCTACCTGACTTTAAACTATACTACAAGAATACAGTAACCAAAACAGCATGGTATGTGTACCAAAACGGATATATAGACCAATGGAACAGGACAGAGGCCTCTGAAATAATGCCACACGTCTACAACCACCTGATCTTTGACAAACCAGACAAAAACAAGCAATGGGGAAAGGATTCCTTATTTAATAAATGGTGTTAGGAAAACTGGCTAGCCATATGCAGAAAACTGAAACTGGACCCCTTCCTTACACCTTACACAAAAATTAACTCAAGACAGATGAAAGACTTAAACTTAAGACCTAAAACCATAAAAACCCTAGAAGAAAACCTAGGCAATACCATTCAGGATATAGGCATGGGCAAAGACTTCATGACTAAAACACCAAAAGCAATGGCAAGAAAAGACAAAATTGACAAATGGGATCTAATTAAACTAAAGAGCTTCTGCACAGCAAAAGAAACCTTCTGGACAAGCAGCCTACAGAATGGGAGAAAATTTTTGCAATCTATCCATCTGGCAAAGGGCTAATATCCAGAGTCTACAAAGAATTTAAACAAATTTACAAGAAAAAACAACCCCATCAAAAAGTGGGCGAAGGATATGAACAGACAGTTCTCTAAAAAAGACATTGATGCAGCCAACAAACATATGAAAAAAAGCTCATTATCTCTGGTCATTAGAGAAATGTAAATCAAAACCACAATGAGATACCATCTCACACCAGTTAGAATGGTGATCATTAAAAAGTCAGGAAACAACAGATGCTGGAGAGGATGTGGAGAAATAGGAATGCTTTTACACTGTTGGTGAGAATGTAAATTAGTTCATCCATTGTGGAAGACAGTGGGGCAATTCCTCAAGGATCTAGAACCAGCAATACCATTTGACTCAGCAATCCCATTACTAGGTATATACCCAAAGGATTATAAATCATTCTACTATAAAGACACATGCACATGTATGTTTATTGCAGCACCATTCATAATAGTAAAGACTTGGAACCAACCCAAATGCCCATCAATGATAGACTGGAATAAGAAAATGTAGCACATATACACCATGGAATACTATGCAGCCATAAAAAAGAACGAGTTTATGTCCTTTGTAGGGACATGGATGAAACTGGAAACCATCATTCTCAGCAAACTAAAACAGGAACAGAAAACCAAACACTGCATGTTCTCACTCATAAGTGGGAGTTGAACAGTGAGAACACATGGACACAGGGATGGGAACATCACACAGTAGGGTCTGTTAGAAGGTGGGAGGGCTAGGGAGAGATAGCATTAGGAGAAATACCTAATGTAGATGATGAGTTGATGGGTGCAGCAAACCAGCATGGCACATGTATGCCTATGTAACAAACCTGCACATTCCGCACATGTCTTCCAGGACTTAAAATATAAAAAATAAAATTAATTTTGCCACGTAAGGTAATATATAATAACTTATCCCAGTGATTAGGTTGTGATCATTTGAGAGAAGGAGAGGAAGTATTTAGCCTGCCACACAAATTATTAAATTTGGAAGGAATGATGGAACTTTAAGAATCATTACTTGGAAACCACTATAGTAATAATTGTTTCTGGGAAGGAATATTAAGGGATGCTTACTAATAAAACTAGTGGATGAAAGCTAGTTAAAAAACAGAATGCTACCTAATCTCAACATACTTCCCCACATGACACTTATATATTACTGAGAAAAACACTAATTTTTATAGTAAAGATGCCTGGCAGATACAACATTAACCAAGTAATCAAAGCCAATATTGCCCATAACAGAATAAAGAAATATGTACATACTGATAGGATGCACTAAGGAGAACACAATCACACTTTTGTGGTATTCCTGACAGAAGTTTACAGGGAAAAAGAAGCTGATGCTTCAGTGCAGTTAGTCATCATTCCTATCTGGGAAAAAGCTGGCTTCACTGTTAGTTCTACAGTAAAATTGCTTGCCGCATAAATTCATTTCTGCTTTGGAAATCCCAGTTCACAAACGTTGACATGAGGTTTAGGCCTGACAAGGGGAGCATCTCAGGGCTTCTACTTTGCCTTCAGTGTTGTTGACATAGGAACAGGTCGTCAGAGCTAAAAATGTATTGTCCTTACCCTGATTTTTTCATATACAAGTTGCCAGAGCTTATGCAAGCACCTATCTCCTCCCTTCAGTTTGATAAAGTGAGAGAACTCATTCTTGTTGTTCTGCTGCATAAAGTTTGCTTGACTGGTTTGAAAAGTACAAAACAATAAAAACAATAATATCTGTGTTACACTTTGGGGGAATTATTAGTAACTGATCACTTTCAGATTACAAATTAAATAGCACAGGTTAATATGACTAGGATTCAATATTAGATATCCTATAATTATAACCTTGCCAAGACCACCTCGATCATGGAGATGCTAACCCAGCGGCACTAGAGGAATTAAAGACACACACACAGAAATATAGAGTATGGAGTGGGAAATCAGGGCACTCACAGCCTTCAGAGCTGAGAGCCCTGAACAGAGTTTGACCCACATATTGATTGACACGAAGCCAGTGATAAGCATTATTTCTATAGATTATAGATTAACTAAAAGTATTCCTTAAGGGAAACAAAGGGATGGGCCGAAACAAAGGGATGGGCTCTGTCTAGTTATCTGCAGCAGAAACATGTCCTTAAGGCACAGATCACTCATGCTATTGTTTGTGATTTAGGAATGCCTTTAAGCGGTTTTCTGCCCTGGGTGGGCCAGGTGTTCCTTGCCCTCATTCTGGTAAACCCACAACCTTCGGCATGGGCATCATGGCCATCACAAACATGTCACAGGGCTGCAGAGATTTTGTTTATGGCCAGTTTTGGGGCCAGTTTATGGCCAGATTTGGGGGCCTGTTCCCAACATAACCTCCCAAAAGAAAACAAAAAGTCTACACATATAAAAGAAAATGTATATATTTTGTAAGAGAAGAAGGAGAAAAGAGCCCAGAAAATTAAAAAGCCAAAAAAAATTTAGAGAGTGAGAAGTGATATCAATAAAACGGCAAAATAGGACTTTCCAGTGCCAGTTGGCCCCCTAGGTCAGACTCTGTAGTCCCAAGATCCATGCCAGTACCCAAGGGCCTAGCCTCCAGACCAGCACATATAAGCTGGGCCCCATAAACCCAGGCTCCAGACAAGCCCCTAAGGCAGCAAGTTCCACTCTAGAACCAGGCCAGTTCCAGGCTTCAGGTTGATCCCCACCACTCTAGGTTCCACTGGACCTAAAGTTCAGGCCCACACCAGTAGCTATCACCTCATACCTCACACCAGTTAGATCTATTATGAAAAACACAAAGGACAACAGGTGGTGGGAAGAATATGGAGAAAAGAGAATTCTTATACATTGTTACATTGTTTTTTGAAATGTAAATTAGGACAGCCATGAGGGAAAACACTATGAAGTTTCCTAAATAAATTTAAAATAGGGCCAGGCGCAGTGGCTTATGCCTGTAATTCCAACACTTTGGGAGGCCGAGGTCGGCAGATCACCTGAGGTCAGGAGTTTGAGACCAGCCTGGCCAACATGGTGAAATCCCATCTCTACCAGAAACAAGCAATGGGGAAAGGATTCTCTGTTTAACAAATGGTGGTGGGAAAACTGGCTAGCCATATGCAGAAAACTGATACTGGACCCCTTCCTTATACCTTAGGCAAAAATTAACTCAAGATAGCTTAAAGACTTAAATGTAGAACCCAAAACCATATAAACCCTAGAAAAGAACCTAGGCAATACCATTCAGGATATAGGCATGGGCAAAGACTTCATGACTAAAACACCAAAAGCAACGGCAACAAAAGACAAAATTGACAAATGGGATCTAATTAAACTGAAGAGCTGCTGCACAGCAAAAGAAACTACCATCAGAGTGAACAGGCAACCTACAGAATGGGACAAAATTTTTGCAATCTATGCATCTGACAAAAGTCTAATATCCAGAATATATGAGGAACTTAAACAAATTTATGAAAATAAAACAAACAACCCCATCAAAAAGTGAGCAAAGGATATAAATAGAAACTTCTCAAAAGAAGGCATTTATGGAGCCAACAAACACATGAAAAATAGCTCGTCATCACTGGTCATTCGAGAAATGCAAATCAAAACCACGAGATACCATCTCACACTAGTTAGAATGGCAATTATTAAAATGTCAGGAGACAACAGATGCTGGCGAGTCTGTGGAGAAATAGGAATGCTTTTACACTGTTGGTGGGAGAGTAAATTAGTTCATCCATTGTGGAAGACAGTGTGGCGATTCCTCAAGGATCTAGAACCAGCAATACCATTTGACCCAGCAATCCCATGAGTGCGTATATATCCAAAGGATTATAAATCATTCTACTATAAAGACACATGCACATGTATGTTTATTGCAGCACCATTTACAATAGGAAAGACTTGGAACCAACCCAAATGCCCATCAATAATAGACTGGATGAAGAAAATGTGGCACATATACACCTTGGAATACTATGCAGCCATAAAAAAGAATGAGTTCATGTCCTTTGCAGGGACATGGATGAAGCTGGAAACCATTATTTTCAGCAAAATAACACAGGAACAGAAAACTAAACACTGCATGTTCTCACTCATAAGCGGTAGTTAAACAATGAGAACACATGGACACAGGGAGGGCAACATCACACACTGGGGCCTGTCACGGGTTCAGGGGGAAGGAGAGGGAGAGCATTAGGACAAATATCTAATGCATATGGGGCTTAAAACCTAGATGACAGGTTGATAGGTGCAGCAAACCACTATGGCACATGTATACCTATGTAACAAATTTGCACATTCTGCACATGTATCCGAGAACTTAAAGTAAAATAAACATAAAAATAATGAAAAATAAAAGATTTCATAAGAACTTATACGAGAAACTACATCAGCCTTAGGGTAATTAAAGATTTGCTAGGACACACACACACACACACACACACACACACACACACACACACACAAGAAATCCTGTCTCTACTAAAAATACAGAAATTAGCTGGGCGTGGTGGTGCTTACCTGTAGTCCCAGCTACTCTGGAGGCTGAGGCAAGACAATCGCTAGAACCCAGGAGGTGGGAGTTGCAGTAAGCCGAGATCCCACCACTGCACTCCAGCCTGGGCGACAGAGCGAGACTCTGTCTCAAAAAATTAATTAATTAATTAATTAATAATAAATAAAAATAGAACTGCCATATGATCCATCAATCACACTTCTGGGTTTATATCCAAAAGAATTAAATCACTATGTTGAAGAGCTATCTCCACTTCCATGAATATGGCAGCAAATTCATAATAGCCAAAGTATTGAATCAATCTAAGAGTCAATCAATGAATGAGTGAATTTAAAAAGTGTAGTTTATATACAATAGAATACTATTCTGCCTTAAAATAAGAAGGAAGTCCTAATATTTTCAAACACATGGCAAACCTGAGGACACTTTGCTAAGTAAAATGAGCCAGGCACAGAAAAATAAATACTGCACGATCTAATGTGTGAAATCTACATAAAATGAACTCATAGAAGCACAAAGTAGTAGAATGAGGCTTGTCAGGGGTTAGCAGTGGAGGGAGGGAAAATGGGGAGATGCTGGTCAAAGGGTACAAAGTTTCAGTTAGAAGGAATAAATTCAAGAGATCTATTCTATAGTATGGTGACTATAGTTAATAAAACTGTACTGCATACTTGAAAATTGCTAAGATAACAGATCCTAAATGTTCTCACCACAAAACAGGTAAGTATGTGAGTTAATGATTTGTTAATTAGCTTGAATAATAATTGCATAATTATACATATATCAAAACTTTATGCTGTATATCATAAATAAATACAACTTTTCACTTAATAAAGATGGAGAGGATATTTGAGTAGGTGAGAAACCAGGATGCTACAGGAAGTGTTACAAATCGTAAGATTTCCATAGTAGGAAATAGTTCAAAGAGCTAAGCTATGTTCTTTAAGTTTTAAAAAATTTGTTTTTATGTGATGTTTTACCCTAAGTGGTCTCAATTGTTTACTAGAAGTTATTTTACATACACTATTCTTGGTTCTTCATTTCTTGGGTAAGCTTAAGGACAAGGGCAAATGACTCATATTTTTCATGCCTAGTTAGAAATAAAGGAAGAGTCACAGATGCAGAAAGAAGATAAAGTCAGCAGAATCAATGCAATTGCAAGTCACACTAGAAATTGGAGGGAAGTTCCGAGATGCATTTTTATTTTTATAATTTAGGAAATAGTGTGTGAATCAATCACATCCAAATCTCACAGGCCTCAAAAGCTACAGCTGACATTCCAGTTATAGAGAAAACTCAGGCATTGCAAGTACGTTACATTATACTGAATTCTCCTTTAGTCATTTTTCCACATCATTTGACTATGACTGTCAGTTTAAATTGCTCTAGGTATAACGCAATTATTTCAGATGAAGATGGTTGACAATAATATATAGAACAAAATGATAACTTCTATAAAATATATTTATTTGAAACCATATATTGATATTCCTAATATACTTATTAACTATAAATATTCAAATTAGAACAAACTTAAAAATAAAAATAAACTAACATTTTCCATATAACAGCTTTTATCATAAAAATTTTCCAGTATATTTAAACATAATTCTTTTATACACCCATTGACTTCAAGTCATTTTCAGAGCCTCTCTATTTGCCTCAAATGTTCTCCATAGCTCTTTAGGTAATGCAGTTGCTCCAAGCACTTACCTCACCTAAGTATACCTAGACGGTGATGACCATTTCTTTATAAGCTACATAGGTCAGCTTTACCAGCTCCTTTCACCTCCAATATCCTTCTCACTGCCTTGTAAAAAAGAGGGATCTTGGACGCCGACTTCTGCTACACTGCTTCAACATCTCTCTTGCTACAATTTATAAAACTTATTGTCTTACTATTGATATTGGATATCAAAGAATATGGACCAAAATTCCTCTCAAAATTTACATCCAACAAAAAATAAGTAGTGTTGGAGGAAAGGATTTGAAGTATTTTGCTGTGTATTCAACTAAACTAAAGATAGAAGACAAAAGTATTCTGCCTAAACAGCAAAAAATTAAAAGACATATTCTAGATATTTTAAAATTGAGAGTATCATCTTTTCATAGGAATTATAACTTCACTTTTATCAATATTTACAACAAATTTCATGCCTTATTTTTAATCAGGAAAAGTCTTTCTTGTATTCATTAGGTTTGTGCCATGGAAAAACATCACTATAGATGTTTTATCTTGATTTTACACAGCTGTTTTCTCCAAAAGTGAATGGTATTTAAGCTGAATGTGTTTTATTCCTACCTGTTACCAGGATCTCCACGACTTTGTTAGAGTACATGCTCAGCAAGTGCTAACAGAGTGAGTGAATAAAAGAATGGTTGATAAATGAACAGATGGATGAATCATTGTGAGGAAAGACTCCATTATATTGTTAATATCACACAAACACAGGCTCACTCCCACCCCCTTAGTCTCTTCACTACCCCTCTTACATCTTTGTTTCTGAGGGTGTAGATTAGAGGGTTAAGACTAGGTGTAACAACAGTATAAAAGAGAGCAATGAACTTGCCTTGATCTTGAGAATTCCCTGATGGTGGCTGGAGATACATGCACATGGCCGGAATGAAAAAGAGAGATACAACCATATGATGAGCTCCACATGTTCCAAATACTTTCTGAAGCCCAGTGGTTGACTGCATCCTCAGTACAGCCTGGGCAATAGCACCATAGGAAGTGAAAATGAGGGTGAGAAGTAGCAGAACAAAAATGGAGCTTGTGATCATGAGGGTCAGTTTATTTTCACGGGTATTGACAAATGATAATCATAAAAGTGCCGGAACTTCACAGAAAAAGTGATCTATTTGGCGGTGTCCACACAGAGGTACCCAGAAGGTGAAGGAGGAATGAAGTGCTGGGTTTGTAAAACCACTTACCCAAGAAGCCACAGCCAACAAGTGGCAGAAACGAGAGTGCATGAGGACAGTGTAATGCAAAGGTCTACACACAGCTGCATAACGGTCATAGGACATCGCCACCAGTAGGAAACACTCTGTGGTTCCCAGTGTGAGAACAAAGTAAAGTTGAACCATGCAACCAGCATAAGAAATGGTCTTTCCCACACCCCAGAGACTGACCAGCAACTGAGGGATAGAGCTGGTGGTGTAGCAGAGATCCAGAAATGAGAGATTTGAAAGGAAGAAATACAAGGGAGTATGGAGATGGGAGTCCAGGTACGTCAGGATGATGATGAACAGGTTTCCTATCAGTGTCATCAAGCAGAAGATCAAAATAACCACAAAGAGAACTACTTCCAGATAAGGCCAATTAGAAAATCCAACTAAAATAAAGTACCCCTCAGAGCTAGCATTGACTTTTCCATCATCATTCATTTCCTATTACCTGAGAGAAAAAAAAAATCAGGTAAACTCAAAAAGCAGTAAACAAATGCTCCAAAAAACATCAGGATACGTAAAAAAAATAAAATCCAGTTTGAAGGGCTTGCCATCATTTAATTGTAGGACAATTTAACCATTAGTAGTAATGAACTTAACAAAAGAAGAATTATAAAGCTCGTACTGATATAAAAAGTAAGAGTAAATAAATGAATGGTGAAGAAAAAGCCATTCCTAACAGTAGATCCCTAATTAATAAACATAGAAGGGATGATGGTGTTAAGAAAAACATAAATGATTGCAAAACTAGTGGATAAAAATTTGATGGGGAACAGGACATGTACATAGTCTAAAATATCTCCTCACAACTTTCTTGTTAATTTCAAACTGAAAAACAGTGAAGTTTACAGTAGAAAAACCTGGCAGACACCAACATAACCAAGTGATTTTATTGATCTTAAGATCACCTGTATTTGTACAAACCAACATCATGAGACTGCTGAGATGCTGCTCTGAACAGAACATGATGTCACCTCAGTGATATTTATGTTAAAAATACACAGACTAATTCTAATAATGAAGACACATGAGAAAAACTCTAATTGAGAGAAATAGTTTGCCTGTACAATTCAAAAGTATCAAGTTTAAGTAGACAAACAAAGGCTGTGGCACTGGTCCAGATGGAAGGAGACTAGTGAGATGTGATTTCTCAGTGTATCATCTGGGATTTTTTTAAAAAGTGGCTATTAACAAAATTATTGGGACTATTTAAGAAATCTCACTGTGGACTATGGATTAGATAATAATATTGTGCCCATATTAAATTTGCTGATTTGGGTACTGTGCAGGACTTATGTAAAATAACATCCTTCTTCTTAGACAAGAAACATTGAATAAAATATTTGGTGTAAATGTCTTGAATGGGCTAAATGCTCCAATTAAAAGACACAGACTGGCAAATTGGATAAAGGGTCAAGACCCATCAGTGTGCTGTATTCAGGAAACCCATCTCACATGCAGAGACACACATAGGTTCAAGATAAAGGGATGGAGGAAGATCTACCAAGCAAATGGAAAACAAAAAAAGGGAGGGGTTGCAATCCTAGTCTCTGATAAAATAGACTTTAAACCAACAAAGATCAAAAGAGACAAAGAAGGCCATTACATAATGGTAAAGGGATCAATTCAACAAGAAGAGCTAACTATCCTAAATATACATGCACCCAATACAAGAGCACCCAGATTCATACAACAAGTCCTTAGAGACCTACAAAGAGGCTTAGACTCCCACACAATAATAATGGGAGACTTTAACACCCCACTGTCAACAATAGACAGATCAACAAGACAGAAAGTTAACAAGGATATCCAGGAATTGAACTCAGCTCTGCACCAAGCGGTGCTAATAGACATCTACAGAACTCTCCACCCCAAATCAACAGAATATACATTCTTCTCAGTACCACATCACACTTATTCCAAAATTGACCACATAGCTGGAAGAAAAGCACTCCTCAGCAAATGTAAAAGAACAGAAATTATAACAAACTGTCTCTCAGACCACAGTGCCATCAAACTACAACTCAGGATTAAGAAACTCACTCAAAACCACTCAACTACATGGAAACTGAACAACCTGCTCCTGAATGACTACTGGTACATAACGAAATGAAGGCAGAAATAAAGATGTTCTTTGAAACCAGCGAGAACAAAGATACAACATACCAGAATCTCTGGGACACATTTAAAGCAGTGTGTAGAGGGAAATTTATAACACTGAATGTCCACAAGAGAAAGCAGGAAAGATCTAAAACTGACACCCTAACATCATAATTAAAAGAACTAGAGAAGTAAGAGCAAACACATTCAAAAGCTAGCAGAAGGCAAGAAATAACTAAGATCAGAGCAGAACTGAAGGAGATAGACACACAAAAAACCCTTCAAAAAATCAATGAATCCAGGAGCTGGTTTTTTGAAAGATCAACAAAATTGATAGACTGCTAGCAAGACTAATAAAGAAGAAAAGAGAGAAGAATCAAATAGACACAACAAAAAATGATAAAGGGGATATCACCACCGATCGCACAGAAACACAAACTACCATCAGAGAATACTATAAACACCTCTGTGCAAATAAACTAGAAAATCTAGAAGAAATGGATAAATTCCTCGACACATACACCCTCCCAAGACTAAACCAGGAAGAAGTTGAATCTCTGAATAGACCAAATAACAGGCTCTGAAATTGAGGCAATAATTAGTAGCTTACCAACCAAAAAAAAGTCCAGGACCAGACGGATTCACAGCCGAATTCTACCAGAGGTACAAGGAGGAGCTGGTACCATTCCTTCTGAAACTACTCCAATCAATAGAAAAAGAGGGAATCCTCCCTAACTCATTTTATGAGGCCAGCATCATCCTGATACCAAAGCCTGGCAGAGACACAACAAAAAAAGAATTTTAGACCAACATCCCTGATGAACCTCGATGCAAAAATCCTCAATAAAATACTGGCAAACCGAATCCAGCAGCACATCAAAAAGCTTATCCACCATGATCAAGTGGGCTTCATCCCTGGGATGCAAGGCTGGTTCAACGTACGCAAATCAATAAACGTAATCCAGCAGAACAAAAGACAAAAACCACATGATTATCTCAATAGATGCAGAAAAGGCCTTTGACAAAATTCAACAGCCCTTCATGCTAAAAACTCTCAATAAACTAGGTATTGATGGAACGTATCTCAAAATAATAAGAGCTATTTATGACAAAACCACAGCCAATATCATACTGAATGGGCAAAAACTGGAAACATTCCCTTTGATAACTGGCACAAGACAGGGATGCCCTCTCTCACCACTCCTATTCAACATAGTGTTGGAAGTTCTGGCCAGGGCAATCAGGCAGGAGAAAGAAATAAAGGGTATTCAATTAGGAAAAGAGGAAGTCAAATTGTCCCTGTTTGCAGATGACATGATTGTATATCTAGAAAACCCCATCATCTCAGCCCAAAATCTCCTTAAGTTGATAAGCAACTTCAGCAAAGGCTCAGGATACAAAATCAATGTGCGAAAATCACAAACATTCTTATACACCAATAACAGGCAAACAGAGAGCCAAATCATGAGTGAACTCCCATTCACAATTGCTTCAAAGAGAATCAAATACCTAGGAATACAACTTACAAGGGATGTGAAGGACCTCTTCAAGGAGAACTACAAACCACTGCTCAATGAAATAAAAGAGGATACAAACAAATGGAAGAACATTCCATGCTCATGGATAGGAAGAATCAATATCGCGAAAATGGCCATACTGCCCAAGGTAATTTATAGATTCGGTGCGATCCCCATCAAGCTACCAATGACTTTCTTCACAGAATTGGAAAAAACTGCTTTAAAGTTCATATGGAACCAAAAAAGAGCCCGCATTGCCAAGCCAATCCTAACCCAAAAGAACAAAGCTGGAGGCATCACGCTACCTGACTTCAAACTATACTACAAGGCTACAGTAACCAAAACAGCATGGTACTGGTACCAAAACAGAGATATAGAGCAAAGGAACAGAATACAGCCCTCAGAAATAATACCACACATCTACAATTATCTGATCTTTGACAAACCTGAAAAAAACAAGAAATGGGGAAAGGATTCCCTATTTAACAAATGCTGCTGGGAAAACTGGCTAGCTATATGTAGAAAGCCGAAACTGGATCCCTTCCTTACACCTTATACAAAAATTAATTCAAGATGGATTAAAGACTTCAATGTTAGACCTAAAACCATAAAAACCCTAGAACAAAACCTAGGCAATACCATTCAGGACATAGGCATGGGCAAGGACTTCATGTCTAAAACACCAAAAGCAATGGCAACAAAAGCCAAAATTGACAAATGGGATCTAATTAAACTAAAGAGTTTCTGCACAGCAAAAGAAACTACCATCAGAGTGAATAGGCAACCTACAGAATGGGAGAAAATTTTTGCAAGCTACTCATCTGACAAAGGGCTAATATCCAGAATCTACAATGAACTCAAACAAATTTACAAGAAAAGAACAAACAGCCCCATCAAAAAGTGGACGAAGGACATGAACAGACACTTCTCAAAAGAAGACATTTATGCAGCCAAAAAACACATGAAAAGATGCTCACCATCACTGGCCATCAGAGAAATGCAAATCAAAACCACAATGAGATACCACCTCACACCAGTTAGAATGGCAATCATTAAAAAGTCAGGAAACAACAGGTGCTGGACAGGATGTGGAGAAATAGGAACACTTTTACACTGTTGGTGGGACTGTAAACTAGTTCAACCATTGTGGAAGTCAGTGTGGTGATTCCTCAGGGATCTAGAACTAGAAATACCATTTGACCCAACCATCCCATTACTGGGTATATACCCAAAGGATTATAAATCATGCTGCTAGAAAGACACATGCACACGTATGTTTATTACGGCACTATTCACAACAGCAAAGACTTGGAACCAACCCAAATGTCCAACAATGATAGAGTGGATTAAGAAAATGTGGCACATATACACCATGGAATACTATGCAGCCATAAAAAATGATGAGTTCATGTCCATGTAGGGACATGGATGAAGCTGGAAACCATCATTCTCAGCAAACTATCCCAAGGACAAAAAACCAAACACCGCATGTTCTCACTCATGAGTGGGAATTGAGCAATGAGAACATTTGGACACAGGAAGGGGAACATCACACACCGGGGCCTGTTGTGTGGTGGGGGGAGGGATAGCATGAGGAGATATACCTAATGTAAATGACGAGTTAATGGGTGCAGCACAGCAACATGGCACATGTATACATATGTAATAAACCTGCAGGTTGTGCACATGTACCGTAGAACTTAAAGTATAATAATAATAATTATAATAAAAGAACATTATAGCATTAAGAAAAGGAAGAAACCACAATGTTAATGAACAATAGATAGTATTAACCACGCACACATTTTTAGACTTTTAACATCACAAATTGTAACAAACCAAAATAAGAGTCAATGAACTAAGAAAATACATATGAATTTGTATAACCTTGGAACACAAAAGTTTATACAACTTAATATGAAACTGAAACTCCAATACAGTTATGTACATAGAATGCAGACAAATAATTAACACAAAATAAAAAATTTAAAAGGAATAAAAATGACCTAATAATTAAAAAAAAAAGTACTTGGTGTAAAGGTACGTGGCATCTCCAACTTACTCTCAGCTAGTGCAGAAAAAGAGATAGATGATAGATAGATAGATAGATAGATAGATAGATAGATAGATAGATAGATATAATAGATGATAGAGATATAGATAGATAGATAGATAGATAGATGATATAACAAAGCTTTGGGGGAAAATGTAAACTAATGCTTAATCTGGTTATAGGGTAAATGTCAGTCTTTGTACTACTTTTTTGCAATTCTTCTCTAAGTTTGAAATTTTACCATAATAAAAAGTCACAAAAAATAGAAAACAATTTTTTAATTTTATATTTTATTCATATATTTGCCTTATAGAAGAATAACTATCGAGTTCTTCCCATTCATTTTATGGTGACTTCTAGGTAAATGGTAATTGAAAGAAATTTCTAACCTAGCTAAGGAAGATAATTTCCATAAAACACAAAATTTTTCTTTGTTAATGAATAAGGAACTTTTCTTTTCAGCATTTTCAGGTTATTTTCAAAAATGTGATTATAGAAAACATAACAATTGCAATCCCAATAATTTTACATACGGATGAAATAATATGTTGAAAATATTGAATTTAGTAGTGATTTCAAAATGTTCATGTAAAGTGAAAAAAAAGTTTAGCTTCAATGGGACTACAGGCATGTGCCACCATGCCTAGCTAATTGTTTTGTATTTTTAGTAGAGATGGGGTTTCACCTTGTTAGCCAGGATGGTCTTGGTCTCCTGACCTCATGATCCACCTGACTCGGCCTTCCAAAGTGCTGGGATTACAGGTGTGAGCCACCGTGCTCGGCCTTGTTTTTGATTTTTAAAAAGTGAAAGAAAGATTTATACAATCTGAAGAGTAATCAGAGTTTATTGTTTCTGACTTTTAAAAGCTGTCTTAATGTATTAGCATTACCCCCAGTGACAAATTAAGCCATGCACAGATACTTCATCTTTTATGTTGCCATTTTTCCTGACAGAGAGTGTGTTCTGTTCAGACAGAGTATGTTATATTTATACACGTTACCAAGAATTTCACAAACTGGAAGAGAGTACACATTCAATAAGATTTAGCTAATAAAGAATAAGTTAATGAATAAATGGACAGATGAACGAAAGAGCCATTTTAAAGAGATATTAGTTTACTGTTCAATGTGACAAGTATGTAGACCTACAGGATAAATTAGATAATTTAGTGTCTTTAAAAAGTGTCTTTCAACCAAATACTTATGATATATCCTTTACCATATCTTAAACAATGTTATTCATTATGTTTACCATTTTTCTTTGCTGTGACTATTTTTAGCTTCATTTAAGGTTTATTCAATAACCAAAAACCTTTTTAGCCTAAGTCTTTGCAATATTGCCCTTCTCTTTCTGTATATATCATCAGTTCATAATTTAGCACATTGTTAGAAATATTCCCAACATTTTTGAAATAATCTCCTCATAACTATTCGCATGCACATTTATTTACGTTGAAACCACAGTCCACAATTTTCACAGAAATAAAATATACAATTGTAAAAGAACAAAGTGGCACTAATCAGAAACTTTATCTCAACATAATATTTCAGAACTAAATAATAAAAAGAGCAACAAATGTGAGACTGAACTATTCTGTTTTGTGAGCTGTTAGAACAAAAATAAATCACAAAGAAGCAGGGAAACCACCTTTCAAGATGGCTAAGACCCTAGGAAAAACAATGACAACAGACAACATGATTTCCCTGTCACTTCCCCCACTCCCACCCCAATAGTCTCTTCGCTGCCCCTTTTACATGCTTGTTTCTGAGAGTGTAGATTAGAGGATTAAGACTCGGTGTGACAACAGTATAAAAGAGGGCAATGAACTTGCCCTGATCAGGAGAATTTTCTGATGGTGGCTGGAGATACATGCACATGACTGGAATGAAAAAGAGAGATACAACCATAAGATGGGCTCCACATGTCCTAAACACTTTCTGAAGCCCAGTGGTTGATTGCATGCTCAGTACAGCCCGGGCAATGGCACCATAGGTAGTGAGAATGAGAATGAGAGGTATGAGAACAAAAATGGAGCTCATGACCATGAGGGTCAGCTCATTTGCATGGGTGTCAACACATGATAAACGCAGAAGTGCTGGAACTTCACAGAAGAAGTGATCCACTAGGCGATGTCCACAAAGGGGTACCCAGAAAGTAAAGGAGGAATGAAGTGCTGAGATAGTAAAACCAATTACCCAAGAAGCCGCAACCAACAAGTGGCAGAAACGAGGGTGCATGAGGACAGTGTAATGCAAAGGTCTACACACAGCTACATAACGATCATACGACATCACCACCAGTAGGACACACTCTGCGATTCCCAGTGCAAGAACAAAGTAAAGTTGAACCATGCAACCAGCATACGAGATGGTCTTTTCCGGGCCCCGGAGATTCACCAGCAACTGAGGGATAGAGCTGGTGGTGTAGCAGAGATCCAGAAATGAGAGGTTTGAAAGGAAGAAGTACATTGGTGTGTGGAGATGGGAGTCCACGTATGACAGGATGATGATGAACAGGTTTCCTGTCAGTGTCATCAGGTAGAAGATCAAGATAACCACAAAGAGAACTACTTCCAGCTGAGGCCAATTAGAAAATCCAAGTAGAATAAAGAAGTCTTCCGAACTTGCATTTTTTTTAATCATCATTCATCTTTTTCTTATACCTAAAGAAAGAACCACATAAACTCAAAGTCTGTCCATGCATTGTCAACCGCTCACTTGCAAACAGATTGAAGACAAAAGTATCCCACTTCCAGAGAGTGTGCACCATAATGGTAGTAGAATTTTTATACAGTTCCCTTTATGTGCTTCATTGAGATATTTATCCAGCTACAGATACAAGCAATAGCTTCTCAAGTTACTGAGTTCTTTATATACATCCCTGAATTAACATTTGGATTAATGAAGACTAAGATAGTCCATAATCAGGAACACAATATTTATGAAAAATGATTTTTTACTTTAAAAAGTCAAATTATTTTTATATTTTCAGGCTATTTCCAATTTTGCAATTACAGAGAAAGGAATAACAGCAGTCTTACTGATCTTACTTATAGATAGGAATTTCCCATATTAAAAAGCAATTAGATAGTCACTTTAAAATATTAACTGAAAAGAAATAATTGAATATGATTATAGAAAGAATCAAATGCTATTTATGCTAGCAGTTTATTTCTAGACAAATAAAATAATGCACAAATCAAAGTTTAAAGAGAATATGCACGCACACACCAACTTATAAAAATTCACAATATACACAAAGCTGATTAATACAGCAAAATAGAGTGATCGGTGATAGTATGCTTCCAAAGGTAAATGAGACTATATTACTGGAAGACATAAAGATTACAGAGTCTAACAAAAACATAGGTTGGTAAGAGAGAAATGGAGAGTGTTTGGATGCACAACAGTGAAGAGAGGTCTGAATGTGGTATGCGAAGTTGAAAGAATGTATAACAAGTTTGTTAGACAAGGACAAGAAGACTTAAACATGGTTTCTACAAAACTGTATATGCTTTAGGCCAATAACTGAACTATACTTTAAATTCTGAGTCACAATTTATAATTTGTATTTTCTGGGTTTTCCACAATTTTTAATGGAGCTTCTGAACAGACATTAACTAATATTAGTAGAAAGATACGTGAACATTGTATAAAATCCAGAAAATTCACCTTGTAGTTATTTTTTTAAAATGAAGAAATTCAAATATGCTTTGATAGCTTGATTTTCAGTTGCTTATTTTCTCTTGCACATTACCAATCTTGCATGAGAAAGATAAACACTCTTTTATGATATAGTTTTTGCAATAAAATACAGGAACCCAGCATTTCAATATTCCTAAATAGTTTTGCCATCCCCCTTCTGCTCCCCTCCTGCCACAGCCAACTCTTCCTCTTATACTCTCTGATAAATTTGGCAAAAGAGGCCAGGCGTGGTGGCTCATGCCTGTAATCTCAGCATTTTGGGAGGCCGAGGCAGGTGGAACACCTGAGGTCAGGAGTTCGAGACCAGCCTGACCAACGTGGTGAAACACCATCTCTACTAAAAAATACAAAAATTAGCCAGGCAGGCATGGTAGTGGGCACCTGTAATACCAGCTACTCTGGAGGCTGAGGCAGGAGAATCGCTTGAACCCAGGAGGTGGAGGTTGCAGTGAGCTGAGATCATGCCATTGCCCTCCAGCCTGGGTGACAGAGCAAGACTCTGTCTCAAAAAACTAATATCTACACCCGACTCACCTTCAGTGTTTTGAAAAACTTTTAATAACTCAAGTATTGTAATCTTGACTCTTGAAAAAGATGTAAGGAGTTGCCTAACTGGTTGAGTTACAGCTGGAGAGCTAGGAACATTGAACTTGGGCCAAATCTGTGCAAATGCTCCAGACTGGTACAAAGATACTGTACATTTTTCCATATTGTTGGTAATGGAATGAGCATTAACCTTTTGAGAAATCATGGGAAAATTCCAAGGATTTTTTTAAATCTCCCTAAGATGAAAGGTAATATGCCATAAGATACTTGAACTCAAATGCTGTGGATACTTTTGCTGATGCCGACCTAATTTTCTTTCCGAATGCAGCTGCCTGAGTTCCTTATTACAGTAATTAAAAGGTGGAATCTGATAACTATCTGTTATATGACCCATCTTTCAGCATTCCTCCGGAGTTGATAAAAGGGATAGGAAATAAGGGACAAAAAAACCCCCAGAACTCATGTAGAGAAAAGTCTCAGCTTCAATTTTCTTCTTGGTGGAAAAGAGGGAAATGAAGACCCTATCAAATGTAGCTTTTATGAGTTGTAGAATAAAATATCTTCTCTCTTTTTTTAAATCAAATACTATAGGGAAAATGGATGGCTGAGTGTCTCTTCCTTCCCCAATTATTATTAAGAGACATTATGCCAATTTGTGTCACATCCATTCCTTTATACTATATCTGGTTTGTTTTCTTAATTTTTCATTGACTAGTAATAATTGTATATATTTATGGAGTACACTGTAATGTTTTGATGTATATATACATTATAGAATGATTATATTAAGCTAGTTAACATATCCATCACCCCACAACCATCATATTTTTGTAGTAAGAACATTTAAAATCTACACTTTCTGCAATTTTGAAATATGGAAGCTGTCTACCCCTTAAGAAGTGCACCAACTTCTTTCAGTACTGACCTTCCTGTGTTTGTCCCTGTTCCCTGTCACTCTCTACCTGGCCTACAACCTCATCAGGTATAAACTGATGAAGGGGCTCTCTGGTTGCCATACAACCTAAAAACATCAACCTAATTGCCTTCTTATAACATTTTTGCCAATGTTTTAAATCTAACTATGAAGAACAGAGTCTGGAAATAACTGTGATTGTCATTGCTACAGAAAAGAGAGCCTGAGTTTGTCCAAAAGATCTGCTTTTTAGCAGAATGTGGGAATACTTTAGGGCATTCAAGGTATCACGGGATGGACCCTTTATCCCAGAGCAAATGTAATCTTTATGGAAACAAAAAGAATAACGGGATACTCTTTCATTGACTGCAGCCTTTGGGAGTATAAATCCCAAAGCTGCAATTAATGCCCTTCAAGGAGTTGTCCTGG
Source organism: Homo sapiens (assembly GCF_000001405.40). Taxonomy (NCBI): domain Eukaryota; kingdom Metazoa; phylum Chordata; class Mammalia; order Primates; family Hominidae; genus Homo; species Homo sapiens. The sequence goes on along the minus strand of NT_167247.2, from coordinate 436,425 downwards.
TATGATGTTCTCAGTACAAAACTCTTCACAGAAATATCTTCAGCATGATGTTATACTCTTACTGAGATGACAGTGAATTTGTCACCAACAAACATGGGAAAAGATGCTGTGAGTAACATTTACAATGAAAGGAAGAGGTTTTACTGAGCCGTCCGATTTTTTTTTTCAGTTTCCCGTGGGGCTAAGGCTCAAATGTACAAGACAACTGGAAAAAAAGGAGAGATTTGAGAGTCATTCAACTGAAAAACTAGAATACATAAAGACTAAACTGCATATCTGTTCCTTATTAATGAGGGGCTCTTTGAGACTGACCTATATTATTTATGCCTTCCCAGTTGTCTTTTAAATTCAATTCCAAGATTTTTCCTGCAAAATGTTAAAAAAATCTTAAATATTACTCCAATCTTTTATTATTTTAATTGACAAATAATTTTATATATTGATTAGGTACAATGTGATCTTTTGATATATGTATATGTGCAATATGGAATGATTAAGTCCAGCTAACACAGTCATCACCTCACATACTTATTTTTCTTATAGTGAGAACATTTAAATCTACTTGTTTAAAATCCCCCCTTTCTCCATCCCCTGCCCCCCAGGTAGCTATCATTCTACTCTCCACTTGTATGAGTTTATCTTTTTTAGATTCCACATAAGAGTGAGATCATGTGGTATTTGTCCTTCTGTGTCTGGCTTCTTTCACTTCGCATAATGTCCTGCAGGTTCATGAATGTTGTTGTAAAGACAGAATTTCCCTTTTTTCTTTAAGGCTGAATAGTATTCCATTTTATATAGATAATGTGGTTCATATATATCACATTATATCCCTTTTATATATTTATCTGTTTATCCGTTGATGGACATTTAGGTTCCTTTCATACCTCAGCTATTGTGAAAAATGCTACAATGAACATGGTAGTGCAGATATCTGTAGTGAATTCTTATGAGTTTAGGTTACCTCAGCGTTCATTTTCAATATATAATTGAACTTCCTCATGCCAGAAGCAGGACTTAGTCACCCTTATCACAATTTTGAGTTCTCCTCTCCCAGTTTCTTCAGGTGGTCAATCCAGATATTTGGCCTCTTGGTTACCACCTCCGTGTGGGACACCTAGATACAACCTACTTGACTTATCCCACTGATCCCCACACCCCACATGGACTGCAGATTTGCAGCAGTGAACACCTCTCAATACAACTTAACTCCCAAGAAATCATGCCTGCTTGCTCTAAACCCAGCAACCAGTTACTCCCTGCTTGGATAATGCTGTGTACTCCAATAAGGGCTTTGGCTTTCTGGTCTGTCACTCACTCTCTCTCGCTACCCACCCACTGGTTGCACATGCATGTCTCTAAGGGATGCCCTTTCTCCCATTAGGCCTGTGAGGCAAGTTGCCCTCTTCTCTCTGGAATCTTTAAGTAATAAAACTACTTATACTATTTTTTTTTATGTGTCTTCTTGGCGTCTCACCTGACACACCTGAAATTAATTTTTTTTTCTGGACAAGGCTCCCTTAGAGAGTGGCAATCTTGGTAGGAATGAACTGGACACACTAGTCAGACAAAAGCCACAATGGTGTCTGCCAGTGAAAACAAGTTTCCAGTGAGAGGGACACCTGGTCATAAATAGGACAATTAGGCATTAGCTCTCCATCAGGATAAGGAAGTATTCCATGAAAAGAACACCGAAAACATCCACAACCACAACCACCTCCACTGGAGCCCATCAGAGCCAGGCTAGAGTTTCTAGCCACTCTTCAAAGAGAGACGTTAAAACCAAATTAGAGGAAAATCTACCCATTTTTTTTTTTTTTTGAGATGGAGTCTTGCTCTGTAGCCCAGGCTGGAGTGCAGTGGCATAATCTCAGCTCACTGCAAACTTGGCCTCCCAGGTTCAAGCAATTCTCCTGTCTCAGCCACCTGAATAGCTGGGACTACAGGTGCAAACCACAGCCGGCTAATTTTTTTGTATTTTTAGTAGAGATGGGGTTTCACCATATTGGTCAGGCTGGTCTCCAACATATTTTTAAAATACAAATTTCAATCTCTTTGGCTATGTATCCAGAAATATAATTGCTAGATCCTATGGTAATTCTATCTTTAGTTTTTTGAGGAATCTCCATGCTGATTTCAATAATGCCTGTATTAATTTACTTTCCTGCCATTAGTATATAAGGATTCCCCACATCCTTGTCAGTACTTATTACCTTTTAGTTTACTGATAATAGTCATTCTAACAGGTATGAGGTGATATCTCTTTGTTTTGTTTTAATTTGCATTTCCCTGATGATTAGTGATGTAGACACTTTTTTATATATCTATTGGTCTTTTGAAAGATGTCCATTCAAGTCCATTGCTCAGTTTTAAATGGCGTTATTTGTTTTCTTGCTAACAAATTTAAGTTGTTTGCATTTCTTACATATTTTGGATATTAGCCATGTATGGTTTGTAAATATTTTCTCCCAGTCCATGGGTTGTCTCTTCAATCTGTTATTTACTTTGTTGTAGAGAAGCTTTTGGTTTCAGGTAATCCCATTTGTCTACTTCTGCTTTGGTTTCCTGAGCTTTTGAGATCATCACCAAGAAAGTATTGCCAAGATTAATTTCAGGGACATTTTTCCCTATGCTTTCTTCTAGTAGTTTTACATTTTCAGGTCTCGCATTTAAATCTTTAAACCATTTTTAGTGGGCTTTTTACACATGGTGTGAGATAAGGGTTCAATTTCATTCTTCTGTATGTGGGTATTTGATTTCCCCTGCATCATTTATTAAAGAAACTGTCCTTTCCCCATAGTGTGTTTATTCTTGGCATCTTTGGCAAAAATCAATTAATCACAAATGCATGAGTTTATGTCTGGGCTCTCTATCACATTACATTGGTCCATGTGTCTGTTGTTATGCCAGTACCTTTCTGTTTTGAATACTATAACTTTGTAATATATCTTTAATCAGGTAGTGTGATGCCTCCAGCTCTGGTCTTTTTGCTCAAAAGTGCTTTAGCTACTTAAGATTTTTGTCATTCCATATGAATTTTTGAATTGCTTTTTCTATTTCTGTGAAACAAAAAGGTCATTAGAACTTTTATAGGAATTGCATTGAATCTGTATACCACTTTCAGCAGCACAGACATTTTAATAATATTAATTCCTCCAATCCATGAACCATCAGGTTCTGGGCTTTTCTTTGGTAGGAGACTTTTATCACTGATTCAACCCCCTTACTCATTAGTCTGTTCAGATTTTCTATTTTTTCATAATTCATTGTTGTTATGTTTCTGGAAATCTAACCATTTCTTCTAGGTCATCCTATTTGTTGGTGTAAAATTGTTCGTAGTATTCTTTTATGATCTTTTGTACTTGCGTAGTTTCAATTTTAATGTCTCCTCTTTCATTTCTTATTTTATTAGAGTCTTCTTTTTTTTCTTAGTTGGTCTGCTAAAGTTTTGTCAATTGTTTTTATCTTTTCAAAAACTGAACTGTTAGTTTTGCAAATGTGTTCTTTTGTTTTCTAATCTCTTACTTATTTCTGCTCTGATCTTTGTTATTTCCTTCCTTCTGCTAAATTTGGGATTAGTTTGCTCTTCTCTTTTTCTAGTTTCTTGAAATGTAACATTAGGTTGTTTGAGATCTTTCTTCTTTTTCAATATCGGCATTTATTACTATAAACTTTCCTCCTGCTAAGAACTTCTTTTGTTACATCCCATAAGTTGTGGTACGTTGCATTTTCATTTTCATCTGTCTTAAGATATTTTTTAACTTCCCTTTGATTTCTTCATTAACCCATTGTTTATTCAAGAGCATGTTGGTTAATTTCCACATTTGTAATATTTTCAAATTTTCCCCTATTATTTATTTCTATTCATTTCTACTTTCATAATTTTGTGGTCAGAAAAGATACTTGATATGATTTCAATCTTCTTAAAATTGTTGAGTCTTATTTTGTTACCTAATATTTGATCCTGGATAATGTCTCATTTGCACTTGAGAAGAATGAATATTCTGTTGCTGTTGGATGAAATGTTCTATAACGTCTTTAGGTCCATTTGGTCCAAAGTGTATGTCAAGTCTAGTGTTTCCCTATTGATTTCTGTCTAGATGAAAAAATTGTTCATCATTACTAATCATCAGAGAAATGCAAATCAAAACCACAATGAGATATCATCTAACACCAGTCAGAATGGCTGCTATTTAAAAGTCAAAAAACAACAGATATTGCGGAGGCTGCAGAGAAACGCGAACGCTTATACACTGTTGGTGAGAATGAACATTAGTTCAGCCACTGTGGAAAGCAGTTTGGAGATTTTCCAAAAGAACTAAAAACAGAGCTACCATTGGACCCAGCAATACCATTCTTGCGTATTTAGTCAAAGGAAAATATATCATTATACCAAAAGAACACACGCACTCATGTTCATGGCAGCACTATTCACAACAGCAGAGACATAGGCCTGCCCATCAGTGGTGGATTGGATAGAGACAATGTGGAGTTCCGGCAGAGACCCGGGTGGGACGCGCTGACCATGGGCCTGCGGAGGGGCTGGGGGTTCAGGACCTCCCGCAGCCTCTGCCCTGCAGGCTCCAGGTGCCCTCGCTGTGGCTCCCCTCGCGGGCCCAGGCCTGAAGAAGCCGCGAACCTCTCTTCCCTACCCCACCTCCGTGACTGATGGCAGCTCCTCTCTCAGCCCAGACCCCGCCGGCCTCCATGTCTCCCGGCCCAGCCCTGCGGGGCCTAAACTAAGCCCCTGCCGAGCTGCTAGGATGCAGCGCATTTGAGTGGCTGCGGGCGTGGGGGGCCGGGAAGCATGGCGACCGCCCCAACTCGCAGCGGAGGCCGTTAGGGTGTGGAGGGCGCGGGAAGGTGGGTCGCCTGCCACCGGGGCGCGGGCAGATCGGACCGCTCTGTCCCAACTGGTCGAGACCGACCTAGTCCTGACGACAGGAACAACGGCATTAACAACGGCCGGAAGGTGAGCAGTGTCCCAGACAACGACGGATAGCGGCCACCTGGCCACTGGTCTTCCTTCTCTACCAGACCTGGATGTGGGAAGAGAGAAGTGGTGGAACAGGCCACATTTGGCGTATTGGAGATGCCCACTACCCTTTGGGAAGATTTAATTACCACCGTTTATAGAAGGCCCTGCGTGTGTAAAGTGAGAAAGCGGCTCTCAACTGCCCCCGCCCCAACTTTTAAATAGAAAACATTTGCCACATTTAGCCCTTCTAGATGGAAAGAGGTTGTGATGTATGATAAAGTTAGAAAATCACACATCTTATAAATTCTCATTTGTTCAAAAAGAAATGATAGAAAATAGATGTCTTCTGGAAATGGCTTTTCGCAATGGAATTGTTGGACCACTTCTGGAAGCCATACCAGGAACGACAGACACAACCACATTTGTTCAGTGGGTTAGAGGGCATGAAGAAGAAGACCTGAGAAGGAAAAGAAGAAGGTTCTGTGCCAGACTAGTCATATTCAGAAGACATTCTCATATTCTTTCCATTGTTTTGTGTGCATTTTATTCCCTACTACTGTATAGATCATTGACAATGCTACACTTTTTTGAAATGTCTAGTGTTTCTAGATGTTCTGAGGTGCCTGATATATGTTTAAACTAGAAGTAGTAAAATAACACATTTTGTAAGTATCTTTTTGTTAAAATTCGAATGAAACATTGTTTTAGGGGGAATGGCCAAACCACAAGTTGAGTAATATGCATTGTATTATGCGCCAGTTCAGGAGAGGAGGAGGAGGAGGCTGTGCAGAGAGCTCTGTGCCACCAGTGTGCTTACAGTGAGGCAAGATTAACCATTATATCTTATGTTTGTGCATTTTCTTTTACTTATCTATGTATAAAGTGTATATAGAGGAAAACAAGTCCTAATTTACATCTAGTCTTTCTAGATGTTATGGAGGTTGCCAGTGAATTACAAAAGTAGAGTTAGTAAACTAATATTTTTGTACATTTTGTTTTTAAATTCCTAGGGAAGATTGTCTTCTGAAAACTTGAGCATTCTTGCCCACTGGGTTGATGGAGATGGAAAGATTTTTAGGCCAGAATGTTCACATTTGGAAGACTCCTTCAAATTATAACTATTGTTACATGTATGCAGTTTATTCAAGGCTGCAGTGTACATAGTGGACAGATTAACTTCTTACCTGAAACCGCTAGTCTATTTAGATGTTTAGAAGGGCCTGATGTATGTTAAATGTAGAGGTAGCAAAATTTCACTTTGTAAATGTCTTTTTGCTGAAATTCATAGGAAATACTGTGTTTTGGAAATTGAATTATTAAGCCATCTTTGTGAGTGGTATAGTACTGTCTATACTTGCTCAGTAGTTTAGAGGAGCTGGGACGGATGAAACTGCAAAAGGTAACATGCTAGTGTGCTCATACTTGCACATTTTCAGGCACCATTTTTCTGTATGTTTTGTGCATTGTGTTTTGCTCTGTATATAGCGCATATAATGAACAAATGAGTCCTAATTTTGCAACATCTAGTCTCTAGATGTTAAAGAGGCTGGCAGTGTATGACAAAGTACTTAGTAAAATTAGCACTTTTTGTAAGCTTTGTGTTGAAATTCATAGGAAACCTTGTCTTCTGTAAATAACTTTTGGATCTAAATTTGTTCAACCATTTCTAAAGTATGACACATGCCTATACTTGTCTACTGAAATAAAGGCAGAGAGAAGAAAGGAAGGACTACTTCAAGGCCAAAATGGTCATGTTTAGAAGATACCTCAGATTATAACTGTTGTTATGTGTGTGCAATTTTATTTAACAGTGCCATGTACATGGTGGACAAGTTATATGAAATATTTAATCTTTCTAGATATTTGGAAGTGCTTGGTGTATTTAAAAATAGAAGTAGTAGAATAACACTTTCTGTAAATATCTTTTAAAAGTAATGAGAAATACTTTTTGGAACTGGCATTGTTGAACCACCTCTGTGAACAGCGTCCTCTCTGTACATGTTCATTGGGTTGAGGGAGATTGGAAGGAAGATATTGCAAAAAGTGTCTTGCTCTTGCGATAGTTTACTGAGAATGATGATTTCCAATTTCATCCAAGCCAAACACCGCATATTCTCACTCATAGGTGGGAACTGAACAACGAGATCACATGGACACAGGAAGGGGAATATCACACTCTGGGGACTGTTGTGGGGTGGGGGGAGGGGGGAGGGATAGCGTTGGGAGATATACCTAATGCTAGATGCGAGTTAGTGGGTGCAGCGCACCAGCGTGGCACATGTATACATATGTAACTAACCTGCACAATGTGCACATGTACCCTAAAACTTAAAGTATAATAATAAAAAATAAAAAATAAAAAGTGTTTTGCTAATGTTTACTAGAAAATTTCAGCTTAATCCATTACCTATATGTTACATGCATTGCATTTAACTTTGCTATACTGTATATATTGTGTGTATACTGGATGAAGTAGTCTTAATTTTATAATATCTAGTCTAGTCTCTAGATATTAAAGAGGTTGCCAATTTATAACAATTTATGAGAGTTAGTTTACTAACTCTATTTTTGTACACTTTGTTGAAATTCATAGAAAGGCTATCTTCTGAAAAGGACTTTTGGAAGTGAAATGATAACATCAGTTCTAAATGACACATATGCCTATATCCACTAGGTTGGTGGTAGAGAGGAGTTAGAAGGAATGAAAGATTTTAGACCAGAATGTTCCTATTTAGAAGACACTTTCAGATATAACCATTGTTACCTGTGTATATAGTGGACAAATTTAAGTCCTTATTTGAAACATTTAGTCTTTCTAGAAGTGCACAAAGTATGTTAAAAGTAGAGGGAGTAAATAACACTTTGTAGATATCCTTTTGATTCATATGAAATATTGTCTTTGGGAAATGGATCAAACCACTTATCTGAGCAGTACACATTACTATATGTGTGTTGGCTCAGGGAGGAAAGAGGAGCAGAAAGGGCAAAGGGTAATTCAAATACCAGTGTGTTTATGGTGAGGCACACTTTACCATTGTCCCTTATGTCTGCATTTTCTTTTACTGTGCTGTGTATATAGTGCATATAAGTGGACAAATTAGTCCTAATTTTCAACATCTAGTCTTTGTAGATATTAAGATGTTTCTAGTGTATGACAAAAGTAGAGTTAGTAAACTACTGTACTGAGTACACTTTTTGGTAAAATTCACAGGGAGGACTGTTCTTAAAAACACAAAAGGATGAAGCCGAAGACGGCCAAATAGGAGCAGTTCTGGTTTGCAGCTCCCAGCAAGACCAATCCAGATGGCAGGTGATTTCTGCATTTCCAACTGAGGTACCCCGTTCCTCTCATTAGGACTGGTTAGGCAGCAGGTCAAACCCATGGAGGGCAAGCAGAAGAAGGGTGGGGAGTTGCTTACCCAGGAAGTTCAAGAGGCCAGGGGACCTCTTTCCCCGAGCCAGGGGAGCCATGAGGGACAGTGCTGCCTAGCTTGTTACTACACTTTTCCCATGGTTTTTGCAATCTGTAGATCAGGAGATTCCCTTGTGTGCCTACACCACCAGGGCCTTAGGTTTCAAGCACAAAACTGGGTGGCCATTTGGGCAGACACAGAGCTAGATGAAGGAGTATTTTTCCTACCCTAGTGATGCCTGGAACCCCAGCGAGACAGAACCATTTACTCCCCTGGAAAGGAGGCTGAAGCCAGGGAGCCAAGTGGTCTCGCTCAGCAGGTCCCACTCCCACAGAACCTAGCAAGCTAAGAACCACTGGCTTGAAATTCTCACTGCCAGCACAGCAGTCTGAAGTCAACCTAGGACAATTGAGCTTCATGGGATGAGGGACGTCTGCCATTACTGAGGCTTTAGTAGGCCATTTTCCCTGACAGTTCCAAGGAGTCTCGGAGGTATGGACTGGCAAATTCATCACAGTGCAGCAAAGCAGCTGTGGCCAGACTGCTTCTCTAGATTCCCCCTCACTGGGCAGGGCATCTCTGAAAGAAAGGTAACAGCCCCAGTCAGAGGCTTACAGACAAAACCCCCATCTCCCTGGGACAGAGCACCTGGGGAAGAGGTGGCTGTGGGCACAGCACAAGCAGATTTAATCGTTCCTGCCTGCCTGCTCTGAAGACAGCAGCTGATCCTGACAAGAGGGATTCTCCCAGCACAGCACACCAGTTCTCTTAAGGGACACACTCCCTCCTCAAGTGGGTCCCTAACCCCCATGCCTCCTGACTGGGAGACAACTCCCAACAGGGGTTGACAGAACCTCACACAGGAGAGCTCCAGCTGTCATCAGGCCAGTGCCCTTCTGGGACGAAGCTTCCAGAGGAAGGAGCAGGAAGCAATCTTTGCTGTTCTACAGCCTCTGCTGGTGATACCCAGGCAAACAGGGTCTGGAGTACACTTCCAGCAAACTGCAGCAGACCCGCAGAAGAGGGGCCTGACTGTTATAAGGAAAACTAACAAACAGAAACAACGTCAACATCAACATAAAGGACCGTCACACAAAAACCCCATCCAAAGTCATCAGCCTCAAAGATCAAAGGTAGATAAATCCACAAAGATGAGGAAAAACTAGCATAAAAACGCTGAAAATTCCAAAAACCAGAATGCCTCTTCTACTCAAAATGATCTCAACTCCTCTCCAGCAAGGGCACAAAACTGGAGAAGGAGATTGATGAATGACAGAAGTAGGCTTCACAAGGTGTGTAATAACAAACTCCTCTGAGCTAAAGGAGCATGTTCTAACCCAATGCAAGGAAGCTAAGAACCTTGATAAAAGGTTACAGAAACTGCTAACTAGACTAGCCAGTTTAGAGGAGAACATAAATGACCTGAGGAGCTGAAAAACACAGCACGAGAACTTTGTAAGATATACACAAGGATCAATAGCCAAATCGATCAAGCAGAAGAAAGGATATTAGAGACTGAAGACCAACTTACTGAAATAAGGTGTGAAGACAAGATTAGAGAAAAAAGAATGAAAAGGAACAAACAAAGCCTCCAGGAAATATGGGACTATGTGAAAAGACCAAACTTATGTTTGATTGGTTTACCTGAAAGTGACGAGAAGAATGGAACCAAGCTGGAAAACAGCTTCAGGATATTATCCAGGAGAACTTCCACAAGGTAGCAATACAGGCCAACATTCAAATTCAGGAAATACGAGAACACCACTAAGATACTGCTCGAGAAAAGCAACCCCAAGAAACGTAATTGTCAGATTCTCCAAGCTTGAAATGAAGGAAAAAAAGTTAAGGGCAGCCAGAGAGAAGGGTCAGGTTACCTATAAAGGGAAGCCCATCAGACTAACAGCATATCTCTCTGCAGAAACCCTACAAGCCAGAAGAGAGTGGGGGCCAATATTCAACATTCTTAAAGAAAAGAATTTTCAACCAAGAATTTCATCTCCAATGCGCCAAATGTGGCCTGTTGTTCCACCACTTCTCTCTTCCCACATACAGGTCTGGTAGAGAAGGAAGACCAGTGGCCAGGTGGCCGCTATCCGTCGTTGTCTGGGACACTGCTCACCTTCCGGCCGTTGTTAATGCCGTTGTTCCTGTCGTCAGGACTAGGTCGGTCTCGACCAGTTGGGACAGAGCGGTCCGATCTGCCCGCGCCCCAGTGGCAGGCGACCCACCTTCCCGCGCTCTCCACACCCTAACGGCCTCCGCTGCGAGTTGGGGCGGTCACCATGCTTCCCGGCCCCCCACGCCCGCAGCCACTCAAATGCGCTGCATCCTAGCAGCTCGGCAGGGGCTTAGTTTAGGCCCCGCAGGGCTGGGCCGGGAGACATGGAGGCCGGCGGGGTCTGGGCTGAGAGAGGAGCTGCCATCTGTCACCGAGGTGGGGTAGGGAAGAGAGGTTCGCGGCTTCTTCAGGCCTGGGCCCGCGAGGGGAGCCACAGCGAGGGCACCTGGAGCCTGCAGGGCAGAGGCTGCGGGAGGTCCTGAACCCCCAGCCCCTCCGCAGGCCCATGGTCAGCGCGTCTCACCCGGGTCTCTGCCGGAACTCCACATTCTCTCTATCCAATCCACCACTGATGGGCACCTAGGTTGGTTCTATGTCTCTGCTATTGTGAATAGTGCTGCCATGAACATGAGTGCGTGTGTCCTTTTGGTATAATGATATATTTTCCTTTGACTAAATACGCGGTAATGGAATTGCTGGGTCCAATGGTAGCTCTGTTTTTAGTTCTTTTGGAAAATTCTCCAAACTGCTTTCCACAGTGGCTGAACTAATGTTCATTCTCACCAACAGTGTATAAGCGTTCGCGTTTCTCTGCAGCCTCCGCAATATCTGTTGTTTTTTGACTTTTAAATAGCAGCCATTCTGACTGGTGTGAGATGGAATCTCATTGTGGTTTTGATTTCCGTTTCTCTGATGATTAGTAATGATGAACAATTTTTTCCATATGTTTATTGGTCACCTTTATGTCTTCTTTTGAGAAGTGTCTGTTCATCCTTTGTCATTTGTTAATTTTTTAATGGGGTTATGTTTGTTGATTTAAGTTCCTTATAGATTCTGGATATTAGACCTTTGTTGTATGCATAGTTTGTGAATCTTTTCTCACCTTCCGTAAGTTGTCTGTTTATTCTATTTATAGTTTCTTTTGCTGTGCGGAAGCTCCTTAGTTTAATTTGTATTTATGGATAGTAAAGATAACTAGCATTTGAGTTTGTATAAAGATAAGATGATAAGTATTGAGTTGAGGTGAAGCAACTAATGTCACAGAAGTTAGAAATATTTTGCCACATTGTAAGCTCTATTTGACTTTTGACTTTGTGTAGTAGATATAGATAGCATGAAAGCCTTAATTTTTCGCTTTTCTTGCTAGTAAGGTTATGTTTGCTTAGAGTGACCATTTAAAGTGTGTTTAACATAACATTACTGTTGAAAAACATTCCATTACATGTCCACAAGCAAATTAACTGCACATTTTAAATTGTATTTTACAATACAGTACAAATATTTTAGACCTCAATCTTATCTTCAATTCACTGGTATTTTAAGTTTTGCAATGAATATGAAGTTACTTTTTAGCTTACAGACTCCTTGTATTGTTATTTAAAATGCTTGTTACTATTGTAGGAAGGTTGAAGGCTTCATCTTTTTTTGAGTTAATATTTAAATTCTTATTACTTACTTTGATAGTCTCTAATTAAAAAAAGTAGTATGCAGGCAATTAAACAAATCAGTATATGCATTCAAGAATTTAAAACAATTTTACATTTTGTCATCATTGGGATTAAATTTTGGCCGGGTGTTCACTTTCAATATATATGTATGAACAATTTAATTATGAAGTGAAATAGTCTTAAGTCTGATATATGATGCACCTGCATATAAATTAAAATGGCACACACAAAGACACTTTACTATGGGAACTGTATTGGAAGATTTATGAAATTTTAGGTAAAATTGAACCTAAAATTTTGTTATTAGTGACTATAAGTAGCAATGCTTAATTTATTGTACTTGATGAATGAATGTATTTAGGTTAGCCATAGTTACTTTGGTTTAAATGTCGAAATCATGTCTTTATTTTAAAAATGTATTTGTAATTTGTACTATCAACGGGGGATATTATTGGACTGCAGAGGTTGTGGCAATGTGTGATTTGTGTTTCCTTATTTTATAGAATTATCTAATGTGATATACTAGTTTTTACAGGTAATATTTAGATATTTCTAATAATTGTATATTTGACAACCTACTAAAATGCTTTGCATTGGAAAGAAACTGAAAAACAATATGCAGACGTAGGCTGCCTGTAAGAGGTTCACTTTAACTTGAAGAACACACATTGATTGAAAAAATTATTTCATGCAAGTGGAAAGCAAAAGACAAGGGTAGCTGTACTTTTATGAGATGAACTTTAAGTCCAAAACTGTTAAAAGAGACAAAGAAGGTCATTATGTAATGATAAAAGGGTCAATTCATGAAAAGGACTTAACAATTGTAAATATATATGCACCTAATATAAGATCACCTATACATATAAAGAAAGCATTAGTAGACCTGAAAAGAGATAGACTGCAATACAATAATAGCAGAGGATTTCAATACTTTACTTTCAACAGTGGACATATCATCTAGACAAAAATCAATAAGGAAACACTGGACTTGACATACACTTTAGACCAAGTGGACCTAACAGACATATATAGAACATTCCATCCAACAGCAACAGAATATTCATTCTTCTCAAGTGCAAATGGGACATTATCCAAATAAGGTAACAAAATAAGACTCAACAGTTTTAAGAAGACTGAAATCATATCAAGTATCTTTTCTGACCACAAAAGTATGAAAGTAGAAATGAATAGAAATAAATAATACAATAAAATTTGAAAATATTACATACGTGGAAATTAACCAACACGCTCTTGAATAAACAAAGGGTTAATGAAGAAATCAAAAGGGAAATTAAAAAATATCTTAAGACAGATGAAAATGAAAATGCAACGTACCACAACTTATGGGATGTAACAAAAGAAGTTCTTAGCAGGAGGAAAGTTTATAGTAATAAATGCCGATATTAAAAAAGAAGAAAGATCCCAAACAACCTAATGTTACATTTCAAGAAGCTAGAAAAAGAGAAGAGCAAACTAATCCCAAAGTTAGCAGAAGGAAGGAAATAACAAAGATCAGAGCAGAAATAAGTAAGAGACTAGAAAACAAAAGAACACATTTGCAAAACTAACAGTTCAGTTTTTGAAAAGATAAAAACAATTGACAAAACTTTAGCAGACCAACTAAGAAAAAAAAGAAGACTCTAACAAAATAAGAAATGAAAGAGGAGACATTAAAATTGAAACTACAGAAGTACAAAAGATCATAAAAGAATACTACGAACAATTTTACACCAACAAATAGGATGACCTAGAAGAAATGGTTAGATTTCTAGAAACATAACAACAATGAATCATGAAAAAATAGAAAATCTGAATCAGTTAATCCAGGAGGTGTATTTTGAAAAGATCCACAAAATTGATGGACTGCTAGCAAGACTAATAATGAAGAAAAGAGAAAAATCAAATAGATCTATTAAAAAATAATAAAGGAGATATCACTACTGATCCCACAGAAATACAAATTCTCTTTTTTTTTGTTGTGTCTCTGACAGGCTTTGGTATCAGGATGATGCTGGCATCATAAAATGAGTTAGGGAGGATTCTCTCTTTTTCTATTGATTGGAATAGTTTCAGAAGGAATGGTACCAGCTCCTCCTTGTACCTCTGGTAGAATTCGGCTGTGAATCCATCTCGTTCTGGACTTTTTTTGGTTGGTAGGCTATTAATCATTGCCTCAATTTCATAACCTGTTAGTGGTCTATTCAGAGATTCAACTTCTCCCTGGTTTAGTTTTGGGAGGGTGTATGTGTCCAGGAATTTATCAATTTCTTCTAGATTTTCTAGTTTATTTCCATAGAGTTGTTTATAATATTTTCTGGGAAAACTGGCTAGCCACCATGTAGAAAGCTGCAACTGGATCCATTCCTTACACCCTATACAAAAATTAATTCAAGATGGATTAAAGACTTAAATGTTAGACCTAAAACCATAAAAACCCTAGAAGAAAACCTAGGCAATACCATTCAGGACACAGGCATGGGCAAAGACTTCGTGACTAAAACACCAAAAGCAATGGCAACAAAAGCCAAAATAGATGCATGGGATCTAATTAAACTAAAGAGCTTCTGCACAGCAAAAGAAACTACCATCAGAGTGAACAAGCAATGTACAGAATGGGACAAAATTTTTGCAATCTACCCAATTAACAAAGGGCTAATATCCAGAATCTACAAAGAACTTAAACAAATATACAAGAAAAAAATAAACAACCCTATCAAAATGTGGGCAAAGGATATGAACAAACACTTCTTGAAAGAAGACATTTATGCAGCCAACAGACACATAAAAAATGCTCATCATCACTGGTCATCAGAGAAATGCAAATCAAAACCACAATGAGATACCATCTCATACCAGTTAGAATGGCAATCATTGAAAAGTCAGGAAAGGACAGATGCTGGAGAGGATGTGAAGAAATAGGAACACTTTTACACTGTTGATGGGAACGTAAATTAGTTCAACCATTGTGGAAGACAGTGTGGTGATTCCTCAAAGATCTAGAACTAGAAATACCATTTGACCCAGTGATCCCATTACTGGGTATATACCCAAAGGATTATAAATCATGCTATTATAAAGACACATGGACACATATGTGTATTGTAGCACTATTCATGATAGAAAAGACTTGGAATGTCCATCAATGATAGGCTAGATTAAGAAAATGTGGCACATATACACCATGGAATACTATGCAGCCACAAAAAAGGGTGAGTTGATGTCCTTTGCAGGGACATGAATGAAGCTGGAAACCATCATTCCCAGCAAACTATCACGAGGATAGAAAACCAAAGACCACATGTTCTCACTCATAGGTGGGAATTGAACAATAAGAACACTTGGACACAGGATGGGGAACATCACACACTGGGGCCTGTTAGAGGGTGGGGAGCTGTGGGAGGGATAGCATTAGGAGAAATACCTAATGTAAATGACAGGTTGATGGGTGCAGCAAACCAACATGGCACATGTATACCTATGTAACAAACCTGCACATTGTGCACATGTACCTTAGAACTTAAAGTATAATAAAAATATTTTTAAAAAGATATTTGTTTTTTGCACCAGCTATACATCAGAACAGAATCTGGTGACTAAGAGGCTAAGAAACAGGGCTTATATGATTTTACATTTCTGGGGAGACAAATAATGGAAATTTTGGCCCATATAAATACCCAAGACTTTCAGCTAGAATGGGTGAATGGCTGCAACCTATGAATAACCATAGACTGAATATAGGCCAGCCCTAAAAATGACTGCAATCTAGAGTATATAATCACCTTTGCTGATGATAGCATATGCAAAATAAACTACATAATTTAAAGTATGCAAGTCAGTATTTTTATAGTTGTATATACCCATGATACCAATACCTCAATCAAGGTAGAGAACATTTCCATCACTCTCCAAAATCTATTTTGTCTTTTGATTTCAGACTTAGTCAACTACTACTCTAATTTATGCCCTCATAGATAAGTTTGCATGTTCTTGAATTCTTAGTGATAGATCTACATAGTGTGTATTATTTTGAGTCTTGCTTTCTGCATTCAGCAAAAATATTTTGAAATTCATCTAAAATGGTTGCAGGCCAGCACATTGTTTTGTTTTCATTACTAGTAATGTTCAATAATAAGGATATAGTATAATTTATTCATTACATCCGTTGACAGATACTTACAGTAATTCTAGGTTTTCGCCACAGTATTTTGAAAAAAGTGGCTATAAATATTCAGCACAGGTCTTCATTTGAGCAAATGTTTTTACTTCTCTTGAACAGATATTTAAGAGTTGAATGAATGGGCCATAAGGTATGTGTAACTTTTAAAGAAACCACAAAACAGTGTTCCAAAGTGTCTGTGTCATTTTACGCTCCTACCAGCAATGTATGACCCAATTCTATCCACCCCATTCAAAATTAGGGATGTTTTCCTACTTTAATTACTTCCCAAAAGCAAAAATAAATTCTATCTAGAGGAGGATAACAACATTCCAAACTTTTAAAAAGTATATATTGTATAAATTGTATATATATAGAGTATAAATATGTATATATTGTATAAATAAATTGTGTAAAAAGTATGTATGTATATATTGTATAAATAAAAAGTACATATTGTATCAATTGTCATTTTGAAATAGATGCTGGAGAAATGGAGGAAAGAAGAGGTTATTAACTATTTCAATAATGCTCATTCTATCACTACCAAACCTGTCCTACGAGAACTGCTAAAGGAAGTTCACCAAACTGAAAGAATGTTAATGTGATTGTCATACTAAAAATGAAGTATTATATTTAAACCACTTACCTATTTAGTAAGAAAACTAAAAACAATTTAAAATAATAACTACAACAATTTTTAAGAGATAGGCAATATAAAAAATGTAAATTGCAACATCAAAATTCAAAATATGGGTGAAGAATGGAGTTAATGTGTATAAGTTTTTAGTTGGAAGTTTGTTTTTATTTTTGAGAGCAAAGTTAAGTTGCTATCAGTTTTATACTACATGTTATATTATAGGATACTTTTTGTAAGCCTCATGGACACCACAGTGCAAAAACTTATAATGGATACACTAACAATAAAAAGCAACAAATTAAAACATACTACCAGAGGAAAATAACAAGGAAAAAAGGAAAGAAGGAAGGAAGGAAGGAAGGGGAAGGGGAAGGGGAGGGAGAGGGGGAAAGAGAGAAAGAGAGGAAGGCAGGAAGGAAGGAAGGAAAGGAAGGAAGGAAGGAAGAGAGGAATTACGAAATTAGAAAACAAGTAACAAAATGGCAGTACTAAGGCATGAACTATCAAAAATAAAATTGAATGTAAACAGACTACATTCTATTTAAAAGACATACAATGGTTAAATGAATTAAAAACAAGACCAAATTATATGCTGCCTGCTGCCTGCCAGAAACTCTTCAATAAATAGTGCTGGCATAGCAGGCTAGCCATATGTAGAAGACTGGAATTGAACCTGTTCCTTTTACCATACACAAAAATAAACTCAAGATAGATTAAAGACTTAAATGTACAACCCAAATGTATAAAAACAATAGAAGAAATTCTAGGAAATACCATTCTGGACATCGACTTTCACGAAGACTTCAAGACGAGGACTCCAAAAGCAATCACAACAAAACCAAAAATTGACAAATAGAATATAATTAAACTAAAGAGCTTCTGCATAGCAAAAGAAACTATCAACGGAATACACACACAACTTACAGAATGGGAGAAAATATTTGCAAACTATGCATCTGGCAAAGGTCTAATATCCAGAATCTATAAGGAACTTAAACAAATAAAAAAGTGAAAAACAAACAACTCTATTTTTAAAACGAGCAAATGGCATGAACAGACACTTCTCAAAAGAAGATATACACATCTAACAAGTATATTAAAAAGTTCAATATCACTAATCACCAGAGAAATGCAAATCAAAACCACAATGAGATATTGTCCCACACCGGTCAAAATGGCTACTATTAAAAAGTTAGGAAATAACATTTGCTGGTGAGGTGGTGGAGAAAAGGGAACATTTATATACCACTGGTGGAAATGAAAACTAGTTCAGCCACTGTAGAAAGAAGTCTGGAGATTTCTCAAATAACTTAAAATAGAACTACCACTTGATCCAGCAATCCCATTACTAGGTGTATAACCAAAGTAATATAAATCATTCTGCCATAAAGCAATATGCATGCAGATTTTCAGTGCAGCACTATTTACAATATCAAAGTCACAGAATCAACCTAGTTGTCCATCAGTGGTGGACTGGATACAGAAAACATATATACCACAGAATACTATGCAGCTATAAAAAACGAGACTTTGGTCTTTGCAGTAATAGGGATGGAGCTGGAAGCTATCATCCTAAGCAAATTGGTGAAGGAATGGAAACCCCAGTATGGCATGTTCTCACTTATAATTGGGAGTTAAATATTGAGTACATAAGGACACAAAGAAAAGAACAATAGAAACTGGGGCCTATGATGGGGGAGGTGAGGATCAAAACCAACCCATTGGTTACCACACTTATTACATGGGTGACAAAATAATCTGTACACCAAACCCATGTGACACACAATTTACCTATATAACAAACCTGCACAGGTACCCTGAACCTAAAATTAAAGTTTAAAAAAAAAGAAAAGCTACTTAATGGGTATAATGCTAATTCCCTGGGTGACAAAATTATCTGTACACCAAACCCCCATAACAAAAAATTTACTGATGTAACAAACCTGCACATGTACCACTTGAACCTGAAATACGTTGTGCACATGTACCCTAAAACTTAAAGTATAATAAAAAAATTAAAAATAAAAAAAAGCAAAAAAAAAATTGGAAAGAAAAAAAGAACCTCACTTCACCTATAGAAACACACAAAGAATGCAACACCAGTGTCTAGCAAGAGAAGGATGGATAAAGAAAATGTAATATATATACATGATGGAATATCATTCAACCATAAAAAATAATGAAATCCTTTCATTAGTAGCAACATGGATAAAATTGGAAGTCATTATGTTAAGTGAAATAAACCATGAACAGAAATACAAATATATCATGTTCTCACTGGTATGCAGGAGCTAAAAAAAGTGGATCTTATGAAGGTCAAGGGTAGAATGGTGCTTATCAGAGTCTGCAAATGGATGCAAGGAAAAACAGATGAAAAAGAGTTTGTTAGTGGATACAAAAATAGAGTTAGATACAAGGAATAATTTTTAGTATTTGATAATACAGTAGAGAAAATACAACTAACATTTATTAATATTAGCATAACATATATTGTATATTTCAAAATAGCTAGAAAAAAATTGTAATTTTCACAACACAAAGTGTTTGTGGTGATAGATATTATAATCACTCTGATTTAATCATTACACATTGTATATGTGTAAGAAAACACATCTACCCCAAAATATGTACAACTATAATATATTGAAAAATTAAATAAATAAATAAATATAGTGCTCATTTTAGAAAACCAATCAATGATGCCTAAAAGAGGGACTAATGTGTAAATATAAGCATCAAAACAAAAAAAATCAAATCTCCTGAAATACCAAAATACCAAAAAAGAATGAAAAGTGAAATATTTTATATACCTTTTATAAAGATATATGTATAAACTTATAAAGATATGTCTTTAATTTACCTGGCTGGGGCTTTTTGGAAGACTTCATTCATGAGTCTGTCTGTATTTGACCATGACTCAGACCTCGACCAATGCAAAAAGCATTTTCTCAGCAGGTATTTGTTGAAAATAATTTCAAGTGACTGCTTTAACTTCACTTCTGACTAAAGCAATTGATAAAAGTTGGGGCAGACCATAAAGCAATAAAAGAGCTTAAAAAATGTAAGGAATGGGATGTCTATAGGGATTTTGAAAATCTTTGCCATATGCCAGGAATTTCATGTATATGCATATGGCTGTGTTCAGATTCAGGACTCTATAAATGCTCAAGCAAGAACTGAGAAGATTCTAAACTCTTGTCTCTGGCTGACCTTCAGTATTTCAGGAAGAAGTAAGTGGAGGCTAAGGTAGAGATGTGAACTGCCTGACTAGGTGTCAGAGTCATGCCTCAATATGAACATAGAGGTCTTTGACAGAAACTGGAAGATTTATTAGTCCCAGGCATTGAAAGAAATTTCTGTCCAATTATTTGCTGGCCACTAGACTACCTGAGTACAGATTTTAATGGCCCTACACCACAAAGAAGGCAGACTGTAGAGAATTATTTGGGAGTATTCACTAAACAAGCAAGCAACAACTACATTAATAAGCAGCAACAACTACATTAATAAGCAGCAACAACAAATTCTAGTGAGACAGGGAGAATCTGGTTTCCACAGTTGCCATTTCTAGTATTTAAAATATTTAGTTTTCCAAATTTATAAGAAAGAAAAACAACCCCATTAAAAAGTGAGCAAAGAACATGAGCCGACAGTTTTCAAAAGAAGACATACATGCAGCCAACAATCATATGAAAAAAGCTCAACATCACTGATCATTAGAGAAATGCAAATCAAAACCACAAGGAGATACCTTATCACACCAGTCAGAATGGCTATTATTAAAAAGTCAGAGAAGAACAGATGCTGGGAAGGTTATGGAGAAAAACAAACATGTATACACTGTTGGTGGGAGTGTAAATTAGTTCAACCATTGTGGAAGGCATTGTGGCAATTCCTCAAAGTTCTAAAGACAGTAATACCATTTGACCCACCAATCTCATTACTGGGTAAGCACCCAAAGGAATATAAGTTGTTCAATTGTGAAAACACATGCATACATATGTTCATTGGAGCACTACTCACAATAGCAAAGACATGGAATCAACCTAAATGCCCATCAATGATAGACTCGATAAAGAAAATGTGGTACATACACACCGTGGAATACTATGCAGCCATAAAAAAGAACGAGATCATGTCCCTTTCAGGAACATAGATGGAGTTGGAGGCCATTATCCTTAGCAAACTAACACAGTAACAGAAAATTGAATACCACATGTTCTCACTTGTAACTGGGAGCTAAATGATGAAAACATATGGACACATAGAGGGAAACAATACATACTGTGGCCTGGTGGAGGGTGGAGGATGGGAGGACAGAGAGGATCAGGAAAAATAACTAATGGATGCTATGCTTAATACCTGGGTGATGAAATAATCTCTACAACAAACCCCCATGACCTGCGTATGTACCTTTGAACTTAAGATAAAAGTTTTAAAAATAAAAATAAATGAAATGAAGTATCTAGTTTTCAACATAAAATTATAATACAAGTGAAGAAAGACACAGGAAGTATGGGTCATAAAAGGAGGGGGAAATGCAATCAATAGCAGCAAATCTAGGTGTTGAACTTGTTGGACAAAGGCTTACATCAGCTACTTTAAAAATAGGGTCAAAGAGCTGAAATAAACCATGTTTAAAGAACTAAAGGAAGATATGACAACTATTTCTCACTAAATAGAGAAAATTATTAAAGAGATAGACATTATTTGTTGTTAAAGAACCAAGTCAAATTCTAGAGATGAAAAAGTACAGTGATGGAAATAAAAAATGCAGCAGAAGACCTGAACACCAGATTTTAACAAGCAGAAGGAAGAATCAACAAACTACAAGATAGGTCAATTGAGATTATCTAGTCAGAGTAATAAAAAGAAAAAAGAATGAAGAAAAATAAAACAGCCTAAAGAAATCTGAGACATTATCAACCATAGCAAACCACTGAAAACATCAGATGTTGACAAAGAGATAAATAACAGGAACTCTCATTCACTGATTACAGAAATCCAAAAGTGTACAACCACTCTAGAGGACAACTGGACAGTTTCATACAACACTAAACATCTTAACCATAGAATCCAGCACTCACGTGTCCTGGTATTAACCCAAATAATCTGAAACGTTATGTCCACACAGAACCTGTACACAAATGTTTGCAGTAGCTTTATTCCTAATTTCCAAAGCTTGGAAGCAAAAAAAAAAAAAAAGTCCTTTAATAAATGAATGAATAAGCAGACTGTGGTACATTCATAGAATGGAATATTATTCAATTATAAAAAATGAGTTGTAAAGCCCAGACCTGGAAGAAATTTAAATGCATATTACTAAGTCAAAGAAGCCAGTCAGAAAAGTCTACATTATATATGATTTCAATTGTATGATATTCTGGAAAAAGCACAGTTATGGAAACAATAAAAAATCAGTGGTTGTCAGGGGCTCCCGGGGAGGAGGGGAGGAAATGATGAATGGAAGGAGAACAGGGAATTTTTAAGGCAGTGAAACCATTCTTTATGATACTGAATGGGGGAATACATGTTATTAAACATTTGTCAAAACCCATAGAATGTAAAACACACACCATCAACCCTAATGTAAACTATGGAATTTGGTTACTAATAATGTATTAATATTGGCTTATCAATTATAACAAATGTACCACATGAATGCAAGTTGTTAATAATAAAAGAAACTCTGGGGGAGGGAGTAAAAGGGGTTACATGTGAGTTCTCTACACCTTCCATTCAATTTTTTGTAAACCTAAAGCTTCTGAAAAATAGTCTATTCATTTAAAAAATGGAAGAGATTGACAAGGTTTATTTAAAAAGACAATCCAATGATATACTGTCAACAATATATTCACTTTAGATTCAAAAATGCAAATAGGTTGAAACTGAAAAGATGAAAAAAGTATTCCATTCAAAGAGTAAGCAAGATAGAGTGCTAATGGATGGCTATACTGATATTACACAATATCAACAAAAAGACAAGAATTATTACTGGAAACAAAGAAGGACAATTTATGATGATAAAATCGCTGGTCCATCAAGAAGATACATCAATTATAAGTACATATGCACCTTGCAGCAGATCTCCAAACTACATAAAACAAAGACTAACAGAACTGTTTGGAGCAATAGATAATTCCATAATTATAGTTCAATGTCAGCATCCCACTTTCAATAACAATAGAACAATTAGATAAAGGTCCACAAGGAAATAGAAGATGTGAACAGCATTATAAACTAACTACAGCTAATTGACCTCTACAGAAAACTCCACCCAATAGTAGTAGAATACATATATTACTCAGGGCACATGAAACATTCTACAGATTAGTCTATAAGGTCATAAAGCAAATCACAATACATTTAAAAGATTAAAATAATGTAAAGGATGTCCTCTAACCACAATGGAATAAAATTAGAAATCAATATCAGGCAAAATATTGTGAAATACACAAGTAAGTGGCGATGAAACAACACATTCCTAAATAATGAATGGCTCAGAGGAAATCACAAGGGAAAATAGCAAATAATTTGCAAAGAATGAAAATAGAAACACAACATACCAAAGTTTATGGAATTCAGCAAAAGTAGATAAGCTAGAGATGTGTTTAAAAGAAAAAAATTCCTTTATCAGTCATTGTCTCTGAAATGACAAAAAGTGTGTGTGCGTGTGTGTGCGTGTACATATGTATGTAAAAATCAAGTAACAATATGTTCAAGATGATTTAATTGTATTATTTAAGTTGCTATTGTCAAAAACTATGCATACTAGAGGGGGAGACTTCAAAAGCAAAATAACTAAGAAAGCTTTCATTCTTTTGCAGAAAATTAAAAGAGAATATGATATAGAGATACTGTGTAGTATATTCATATTAGATATTCCTTCTTAGGTGACATTTGAGATCAACCTGAAACACAGAAAGGAGCCAGTCGTGATAAAATCAAAGAAAGAGCATTTTAGACCTAAAAACATCTAATTCAAAAGTCCTAAAGCAGGAAATGACCTTTGTTTGTAATGGAAAGTTACAGTCACCTATGGTCCCAGCAGAAAATAGATGGCATGCTCCTATGGGAACTGAAAGAGGTTTAACAAAAGAAGTAAATACAAAGTTGTGAGAAGGATTTAGGAACATCAACAAGGGATTTCTGTATATGTATTATATATGGACTACTCTGAATCTAGCAACAGTTGGGAGGCTTAGCAACCAACACAAGGCCTGAAGTAGCAAAGGGAGAAAGTACTATTACAAAGCAGAAAGAGAGAGAACCTGTACGTGGCTACATCCATGACCTGTGATCTTTGGTTGAGCAATACAAGTAGCCTCATTTGTCCCATCTGAAGGAGAGGGTAGGGGAAAATACTTCAAACTAGCTGCTGCCTCACTCTAATCCTCAGCTGGTGACTCATTGGCTGAACACAACCAGAAGTCAAATATCATGGAATTCTCTTGATTTCGCCTCTAGAGGCACAACACAGGGTAGAAACAAACATGGTTGGATAGAGAGTGAATCTGGGGCAGGGGAAGGAAGGGGGAGTGGAAAATATCCAGCACATATGTAATGTGGAAAGATGCACACCCTTATGACACTAACGGTTACCTTTAAAGAAAGGAGAGGGACAACAGACCATGACAGTAGGTCATCAAAGGGAATGCCTGTAATCCCAGCCACTTGGGAGGCTGCGGCAGGAGAATCGCTTGAACTGTACAGCAGAGGTTGCAGTGAGCTGAGATCATACCACTGCACTCCAGACTGGGCAACACAGCAAGACTCCATCTTAAAAAAAAAACCCTTTAAATTTGTATTTGCTATCCCATGCACTTGAATTTGTTTTTCAACATAATGTATTTATGCATTTTGTATGTAATTTTTAAAATCTCAAAGTTATCTGTGTATCTGCCTAATGTTATGTGGTATGTGCTTGGTGAGAGTGAAGAAATTATCATTTCATCATTTTAATATGAAAGCATTAAATATTATGAAATGTTTTAAACTATCACTTGATTCCTTCTCATTGGAAATATCTTTTTATTATCTTTCTTCCTTTTCAACTCATTTTTGTGCCCCTTTATTCTTACAACTAGAAATGATTAAATTTTATGTGAGGTAGTCTAGAAGTTAATGAGGTAAGGTATTCAGGGAATTCTCATTTAAGTTCCCCAGAATCATTTATTCAAACTAGCTCATCTCTAATTGCATCTCATTTAAAATTAGTGTCTACTGTTTTGGGAAATTGAGTAAATGTATTTTAAAACACATCTGACAACAGAAGAGACTTCCTACCAACCTCAGTTCAGTAGGAAACTAATTGTACATAAGTAGCATTTCCATAGAGATCTCTGTCCCAAGGAATTTTCTCTGCTAACTCCTCATCTGGGATAAGGATTAATGGCCTGTTGGAAAACAATGCCCAAGAGGTCTCAGGAAGAGCTTACAAATAACACATCCACAAAGCATTCTGATATTTTCTACTATTGTCTTCCTAACCCATGTTTTCTTCTCTTTGGAACCCTGTAACAATTGAAAACCTAAGTTGTGAAGCTAATTCTTAAATACTCATGTATACTACAGTTTATCCATCCTCTGAACGTTTGAAAAATTCAAGTGTATTCCTTCATAATTCCTTTTTATTGAAAGATATTTATCAAAAGGTGAGTAAAAAGGCACGTTTTCAAGTCCATGCATTCTTAGGGAAATTGAAATATGTGTAGATCATACTGCCACTGCCTAATATACATCTGAAAGGCAGAGAGCATTTCATTTCAGGGAGCCTTTTCTAACCTTTGGAAACAGCTGCTCAGTGGTTCTAAGAAGCAACTAGATTTCTCTTTGTAATTAATCTATCTCTCAATCTCTCACTGAAACCAAATTTAAAAACATTAAACCCATTTAAAATCATTATGATTTTAAATTTGGTTTCAGTGAGAGACTGAGAGGGAGATTTATACACTATATCTGAGAAATATTAAATGCCCAAAACAAATATGAAGCCTTCTTTCAATCAGGTGGATTTTTAGAATATATGTTCAAAATTGGATGGATTGATTTGTCTGTGTGTTTCATGCAGATTCCTAATGTCAGATAAAAATAACTTTTATTTCTTCTTATGATCTTTTACTATATAGAAAGTCTACAAGTGCAGTACATATAAAGAAAATATTGTGTATGGTAAAAATGAAGTATAAGCTACACTAGAATGAAGATGGAAGTGGAGATAAAACAGGAGACATCAACAGGAATAGGGTCTGGTACTTTATTTATCTTTTTTAAGTGAAAGCAAGTTTATTCAGAAAGTAAAGGAGTAAAAGAATGGCTGGCTACTCCACAGACAGAGCAGCCCCAAGGGCTGCTGGTTGCCCATTTTTATGGTTATTTCTTGATGATATGTTAAACAAGGGGTGGATTATTCATGCCTCCCCTTTCTAGAACATACAGGGTAGCTTCCTGATGTTACCATGGCATTTGTAAACAAATGTACTCTACCATATAGGGCAACTTCCTGACGTTGTCATGGCACTGATGGGAGTGTAGCAGCGAGGATGACCAGTGGTTACTCTCATCACCATCTTGTTTTTGGTGGGTTTTGGCCATCTTCTTTAGAGTAATCTGTTTTATCAGCAAGGTCTTTATGACCTGTATCTTGTACTGACTTTCTGTCTCATCCTGTGACTTAGAATGCCTTAACCATCTGGGAATGCAGCCCAGTAGGTTTCAACCTCATTTTACCCAGCTGCTATTCAAGATGGAGCTGCTCTGGCTCACATGCCTCTGACATTTCCTCCCTCCCCTTTACAAGAGAACCCTTAATCCTAAGGGTTGGAGAGGGACAAAGATCCATCTCCTTCTGTAGCTTCTTCAGGCTTAAGAGGAGCAATGATATTCCTGCCTAACAATTAGAGTCTCTCGTATTTGGGGTAGAGAGGAGCTCGTCAAAAAGCATTGGTATGATGAGAGCCATTCATAACTCTGAGTTTCAACAAGAGGTGCTATCTGAAAGATTGATAAGTGTTCCATTTAAGAAAACATTCACTAAGCATATTCTGCATCCGTATGCAAAGAGTACAAATGCAATGTATTCCACAGCAGCAAAGCAAAATAAGTAAAATTATTCCAGGTAAACTAAATTTAAAGGCTTCCCATGAACTGAGCAACTGTTAAAACCAAGCTGATACAGGGTTGCCAGATGATTCCAATATGTGCCCATGATTAGAATATTGGTCCAGATTTTTACATTACCCAAACCTCTTGTATCTTCTGAGTAACAGTCTAAGATCACTGGTTGGTTCACAGGAATAAGCAGGTTTAGCCTAAATTGTAGAAACAAACTTAAAAACAACTCATGAGACTAGAATTTAATAACAAGTGTACCATACTTCTTGAAACATAATTTTTCTCACTTCAGTTTCTCATTTTTACTGAAGACAAATTATGATAAGACTGATTTACTTTATTGCACTTGGCCTGATTATTTGTATAAAGTGGAACAAGAATAATTATTTTATACATTACCAAAATTTCTTTGTCAATCACGTTTTTGCCAGTGGCTGTGGTAACGAGTTTTGTCATACACAGACAATTGTCTTGTTTTAATCCTCTTCAAAAGGTGGTTTATAGTCAGCTATACAACTCTAACGGATGTTCTTAAATGCAGGTTTCTGATAACTTTGGAAATTGTGACATTAGAATAGAGGAAACAACTTTTGCAACTCTTGTGAAGAACAGGAATGTTCATGAATATCAAACAGAACAGGAGTTAACTGCATAAACTAAGCTAAAAGAATAAACTAATCTTTTTGACTTTGCTTAAAACGTTGCTAACCCTTTGTTTTGTTTTCCAGAGTTAAGAAAACTTTTACTTTGAGCTATTTACAGCCTTTAGCAATTGAGTAAAGTATACTTCTGTGGAAAAAAAAAATGGACCATATTTGTTTCTCTCTACCTGATTTCTCCAGAATTTGGAGACTATTTGTGAGTATTCTTAACTGATGGCAATATATTTATTTGCATAAGTGCAATAAGAATCTGTTTTTTTTTTTTTGTAGCAGGACACAGTTGGAGAAATTGGTTATTTTACCAAGGCTTTGACTGGAATGGTGTGTTTTCCTTTAAGGAATGAAACTTGACTTATAGAGCCAATAAAAACCCCTTGGGGAACTGACCTTCTACCTTGCCTACACAGTCCCTATACAGGGTTTCTGGCCTGTGGTAAGTAAAGAATGTCATTTTCTAACATTCCAAGGATTCCTGCTTTATCTTGGGACCCCATGAGGAGAGGAATTTACTCAACTCATGGGTCTGGCACTTTAATAAAGTGGCTTTAAACATTTGTGATTAAGTAAATCCCCATGTAGTAAAATAGTGATGAAACATTTCTTGAAGTATAAGATCCAAAAGACAGATAAAATCCCAAAGCTAAAAGAAATAAAATACAAGAATGACATGAGAAAAAAATATGAGATCTAAGAATAGAATTACAGAGCTTAAATATACTTCAAAATTAAATCACATTGATTAGTCATTCCTAGTCTGATGTCTTCAGGGAAATGTCCAGAGAAATGGAGGAGCTCTGGGTGACCACCACTCACAGACAAAATATACTTAATAAAGTTAATAACAAAATCCCAAATAATATAAATTTAATAAAATTGCGGAAGACATACTGGAGTGAATATTGTCATTAAAGGTAGTTATAATTAGTTATAATTATGGAAGAATTCATGGAGGATCAAATCTAAAATTGCTTTTTAAAAAATTCAAGGATGGTCCCTGGTAGAAAAAATATAAAAGGTGAACATAACAATGTTAAATAAAGATAGCAGGTATCTAATAGTGAAATTATTTAATAATGTAATTTGCAATTCTCAGAATACAGGCATGCACCACATAATGACATTTTCATCAATGACTGACCATGCATGTGTTCAACAGTGGTCCCATAAGATTACAATGGAGCTAAAAAATTCCTGTTGCCTAGTGACACTGTATCCATGATAATGTTATAATGTAACACATTACTCAAGTGTTTGCAGTGATGACGGTATAATCAAACCTGCACTGCCAGTCATATAAAAGAATAACACATAAAATTGTGTGCAGTACATAATACTTGATGATGATAAATAAATATGTTACTGGTTTATATTTTTGCTATACTATACTTTTTATGATTTTTTATACTCCTACTTATTTTTAAAAAGTTAACTGTAAAACAGCCTCACACAAGTCTTTCAGCAAGTATACCAGAAGAAGATATTGTTATTATAATCATAGGAGATGACAGCTCCATGCATGTTATTGCCCCTGAAAACCTTCCAGTGGGACAAGGAGCTGGAAGACAATGATATTGATGATCCTGACCCTGTGTAGGCCTGGGCTAATGTGTGTGTTTGTGTCTTCATTTTTAACAAAAAAGTTAAAAAACTTAAAAAAATAGAAATAATTTATAGAATAAGGATATAAACAAAGAACATACTTTTGTACAGCTGTATGATGGGTTTAAGTGTTATTCAATAATCAAAAAGTTAAAGAAATTAAGAAGTTTATGAAGTAAAAATGTTACAGTTAGCTAAAATGAATTTATTATTAAACAGAGAAAAGTGTTTTTTAGTAAATTTAGTGTAGGCTATAGACAGTGTTTACAAAGTCTATAGTAGTGTACAGTAGTGGTCTAGGCCTTCACATTCCCTCACCATTCACTCACTGACTCACCCAGAGCAACTTCAAGTCCTGCAAGATCCATTTATGGTAAGTGCCCAATATAGGTATACCATTTTTTATCTTTTATACCATATTTTATTGTACCTTTTCTATTTTTATATACGCTTAATACATAAATACTTACCATTGAATTATGATTGTCCACAGTATTCAGTAAGGTAACATGCTGCACAAGTTTGTAGCCTAGGAGCAATAGGCTATATCACATAGCATAAGTGTGTACTAGGCCATACCATCTAAGTTTGTGTAAGTGCACTCTATTATATTCACACAATGACAAAATCACTTAACAATACATTTCTCAGACTATATTCCTCTTGTTAAGCTATGTATGACTGTATTTATTTTGACATCAAATTAGTTTATATCATGCCTTTATTTCATCTTTCATTTCCAATACGGATTTTCATCTGAAAAAGCACTCAGGCCAAGACATATTTCTAAATTTGATGCACTCATATAACATCTTGATTAAATCAAGGTCAAATAATGTGAAGGGGGTCACACTCATTCAGGAACAACCCTCGAGTACAGATGCTTTCTGGGGCTCTTGAAACTCTGAGTTTATAGTCTCAATATTTTATTACCTCATTTAAAGCAGCAATTACTTTTCAATCTTTAGGATGTTCTTAGTCATTAGCAGAGTATGGAAACAAATGATTAACAATATCTTAAAATATGGATAGTAAAATTTTCTTTGTCATAGCGTTTGGGGATGGATACTAAATGATTTAATGGTGTAGAAAGCATATGGGGGTGTTTGACACAGAGGGTTCACTAAGGACTAGTTGGAAAGAGTGTTATTATTGTTTTGCACACTTCCGGCGTGAGATAGCATATAATCAAAGGGCAACATTCACATGTTAGCCCTGAGGAGCTTTGTATGACACCTCACAGGATGACTTTGAAGATGTAATGAAACAGAGAATGTGGAAGCTGTGCTTTATAAACTTATAAATGTAATCTGTTACCATTAAACAACTAATTGACTGGCAGAGTTACTCAGAATGTTGTCACTGAGATGCTATCTTAACTTTTCAACCGAATATTTCTCATCCTGCAGAAAATTGTGATATTCATAAAACACATGTCACCACTAAAAGAAAAGCATATGAGCAAAAAATTAATCTTTCTCAAAATACTGCTTCACTAAACTAGTTGAGGTTGGTATATCAATGTACTGTCTAGCTGAAAAAAAAGGAAAGGTCTTGAAAATGTAAAATAATTTCAGATTTGACTGTCTCTAAGCCTAAATTGGGACATCAACTTTTGTCCTGACTGCAGTCACTCAGAACTAAAAGACATATTTGTAGTTATGTGCAATCAGTGGGTCATGACAACTATCCAAACTCTTATATTAAAGCAAGATGATAATCTCATTGAATAAAAAAATTTTTTTCAAAATGGATGTTAGCTAAAATTTAACATAAAATATCAAATGCCCAAAGGTTGAACTAAATCGTAATGAATAAAAGCCCAAGAATGCAAAATCGAATTCCTGAGCATAGGGAAACTTTGTCATTGTAGGTTAA
Organism: Homo sapiens; assembly: GCF_000001405.40. NCBI lineage: Eukaryota > Metazoa > Chordata > Mammalia > Primates > Hominidae > Homo > Homo sapiens. The sequence goes on along the minus strand of NT_167247.2, from coordinate 405,263 downwards.
CTCTCTCAATTTATACTTGAGAAAACAGACAATAAAAGTATTTAATTTTCTTGTTCAATTTCAAATCGCTGAGATAGATTTAAATCCAAAAGTCTTCTTGCCTCCCTTGGAGATGATATGATTATTTAACTAACTAGTTGGAGCTGGACAATGCTATCTTGATGATTCTTATGACTCCAGGTTTTCTCCTCCTTTTTCTCCTACCATTGCTACCTCAATATGTTTATTCTTCTTAGCATTTCAGTAATGCCTTGCAGCACTGTTTCTGAAAATGAACCATCCTGTTCCTCAGCCCCAGGCCACATTTACTCTATCAGACACCTAAAGATAGGAAACAATAAATTTCATTCTAGCAACCTTCTCAGCTGATTTTTATGCAACTCAAAGTTTGAAAACTATACGGTCACTTTTACTTTGTATTTAATCCTCACCTCACTCAAGAATGGTAGTTATTGTCAACCTTCTTACACAGAAGAAGAAATTCCATTTCAGAATGGTTGGGTTACTGGATTAAGATATCTGCCTTTAATTTGTAGTGTCCCATAGGAAAATAAGATCACCTGATACCAGATGTTTTATGTTATTCTGACCCCAGGTTACTGCACCCTGTCATCTATAAGTAGACAATCAATGCATCACCATGTTTTGTCGATACCCATAGCTCTACCTTCTTTGGCATATCCCTACTACAGGTGAAACAAATTGAAGATAATGCCACTAACTAATGAAAGCCACCCTGAAGAATTTATTCTGCTAGGCTTTGCAGACCGCCCTTGGCTAGAGCTTCCTCTGTTCACTAGTCTTCTTATAATGTACCCTATAGCCGTGATGGGAAATATCACAATCATTCTCATGTCCAGGTTAGACTCTCGTCTTCATAGCCCCATGTATTTCTTCCTCACCAACCTCTCCTTTTTGGACATGTGTTATACCACAAGCATTGTCCCTCAGATGCTGTTTAACCTGGGAAGCTCTAAGAAGACCATCAGCTATATGGGGTGTGCGGTTCAGCTTTATTTCTTTCACATAATGGGGGGAACAGAATGTTTGCTTTTGGCTATTATGTCCTTTGATCGCTATGTGGCCATCTGCAGACCTCTTCACTACACCCTCATCATGAATCAGCGCGTCTGTATCCTTAGTTTCCACCGTGTGGCTAATTGGAATAATCTATGCTGTCTCAGAGGCCACTGCCACATTACAATTGCCACTGTGTGGTCTCAATAAACTGGACCACTTGGTGTGTGAGATTCCTGTTCTGATAAAGATTGCCTGTGGTGAAAAGGGTTCTAACGAGCTCACACTCTCTGTGGTATGCATTTTTATGTTAGCTGTCCCACTATGCTTAATTCTTGCTTCCTATGCTAGTATTGGAAGTGCTGTATTTAAGATCAAATCTTCCAAGGGAAGGAAAAAGGCCTTTGGGACATGCTCCTCCCATCTTATTGTAGTTTTCTTATTTTATGGCCCAGCCATCAGCATGTACCTTCAGCCCCCCTCCTCCATCTCAAGGGATCAACCCAAGTTCATGGCCCTCTTCTATGGAGTGGTGACTCCCTCACTCAACCCTTTTATCTACACCCTGCGGAATAAGAATGTAAAGGGGGCATTACGCAACTTGGTGAGGAGCATTTTCAGCTTTAAGTGATAGTGGGTAGACATAAAATGAAGTTATTGAACAGTTAGAGTAGGTTGCTATGGTTTTATCTAACAAATTCTTGTCTCATAATCAAATATCGCTTTACATGTTCTTGCAAAATATGTTATGTCTCCGAGACTCTTTGTAAACATGTTCAGCAAGGATTATACTTGGCTAGTAGGCACATTATATTATGGAAATATATTAAAATAGTTCTATACTGGTTGGTACATACAGAGATAGTAACTGTGTTAAGTAGTAAAAAAATTAGTAAAATGAATTTATTAGTTCAAGCTAATTGTAAAAATAGTATAGCAACCACTCATCAATGAGCCTCCTGTCAGAGTCACCTGAGAAACATTCCATCACTCTCTGCATGTTGTCCCAAGTCTAAATGGGCAGTGTGGCTACACTGGGCATTCAATGTGAAGCACATTATACTTTGGAATAATCATGAGTCTCATAAGCTTATCAACCCCAATTTATGTAGATACTATTGCTTCTTAAAAATTCAGTGTAATTCTTTTTTAACAAATAAGTATGCAGTGATTTTGTATTTTTAATTAAATAATTTATTATTAAATTTTGAAATGAGTGGAATAGTGGGACAAAAAGTATGAAAAAGTTTCTGATACTTTCCTTTTACATACTATAATAATGAGTCTTCGAATCAGTGAGATAACAAGGAAGTGATATTAATAATGAAACACAACCTGGAAGCATTTCCGTGCACAATTTGGAACAGCCAGGAATGCCTTTTGGAACTAACTGTGTTAGAATCAGAATCAGTATGAGAAAAAAATAATTTGCATTTCTGGAACAAAAAGCAACTTGATTACCTCAACAAACAATATGTCTTTTTACTGATGTAAATGTTAAATGCAAATGATGTACAAAACCTGTATCATTAAAAGTTGGAAGTGCTAAAACTTAGTTCTAGGACTCACACCCCAAAACTTAAAACTTTGTCACGAAATTAGTTACAATTTATGAAAGCAAATGAATAGATTTTATATTTACTTGGTGTTGAATTAATATGTTGAGAGTTCAACACGGTGTTGTGTAGTGAAGAAGTAAATACTTGTAAGAAAAACAAAAGGTCATTTGGACTTTTCTGGCATAACTTCTGGTATGATCAAGATCTAAGCCAATAATTGGAAGGAAAACCTCATGTTAGTTCAAACAAGAATCAACTGCAAACCAGATACACTTGCTGAAAAATAACAGATCATCTGGTGCTGATACAGATCCTCAAATCATTGAACTTTTATATATCTAGTTTGGAAAAAAATTTAAGTAACTTTAAAAATTGGCATATTTCTGGTTGATTGCCAGAAAAATGTTTTCAAATTTTATACACATGCACACACAAACACATGACCTAATTCTGTGGTGTTAGACAATAGCTTTGATCATTTTTATTAGTTAAGGTATAGTTTGTCTAACTTAGTCTTATATACAGAAGTATATAGTAATTTCTAGTTTTGAAGGCAAAACACAGAACGATTTTTGTCAAAAGCTTTGCTATAAAAACCCATTACAGTTCATCTGACTCTCTCAAATTATCCTCCGTCCTTGGCTAATGTATATACTACCTTCAAGTCCTGTAAAAAACATTCATTTCAGAGGCATGAGTGAAATCTAGACACAGTGAAAAATCAGGATTTCCTAAGAATTATATGCAAAAATCTCAGAATAAAGAATACTCAGAACAGTGGACTGGAAAACCCACAGAAAGGTTTTATTTGGACTTTGCATTTCCAGGGAATATATACTGCTCAGTATGCTACAGCATGAAGGATACTTCAGTCAACTTTTGAAAAATTCTGTAGAAGAGAAGGGACGCATTATACTTGAAAGAGAAAGCGTGCTCTACCTTTTGTGTAAAGCATGAGCAATTCTGAGATTGCCTTTCAAGGAAAGTGATCTAAAGTTCTTATTTCCCCAAGCAAGTAGGCCTTTCCTAAATAACAAATGGAAGAAAACAAAGCATTTTAACCCTAGATTTAAAGTCACTAAAAATGTATTTGGAAAAATATTTAAGGTAGAACTCAAGAAGGTTTAACAGTGGCTTTCTCCATATTAGAGATGTCCTAAGATCTGCATAGCATAATAACTGCAAGGCAAGAAGTGCTAACATGCACCTTCAAGAATGTGCCTTTGGGATGAGTTCATGTCCTTTGCAGGGACATAGATGAAGCTGGAAACCATCATTCTGAGCAAACTATCACAAGGACAGAAAACCAAACACCACATGTTCTCACTCATAGGTGGGAATTGAACAATGAAAACACTTGGACACAGGGCGAGGAACATCACACACGGGTGCCTGTCATGGGTTGGGGGGCAGGGGGAGGGATAACACTAGGAGAAATACCTAATGTAAATGATGAGTTAATGGGTGCAACAAACCAACATGGCACATGTATACCTATGTAACAAACCTGCACTTTGTGCAAGTGTACCCTAGAACTTAAAGTATAATAAAAATAATAATAATATAGACACAGAAGCAAAAAAAAAAAAAAAAGAATGTGCCTTTGGAATGAAAAAAGAAGACTAATTAAAGTACTCAAAGAAGAATTAAAAATATTTTCAAAAGGCAAATAAAAATTGTAATATTTAATAGGAGTATATAGTAATACATCACTGGCTGAGGAAATATCATAATCATAATCAAAAAGTCATGTTAAAAAGGAGAACTCACAACTATTGAAAAGCTGCCATGAGCTAGTAAAAGTGTTAAACATATTGTATGTATGGTCTTATTTAATCTTTCAATAACCCTTTAAGGTATGTATTAGCCACATTTGATAGATAATGAAAATGTGGTTCACTAATTCTTGAGCTTGCATAGTGTACGTCAGAACTAGAATTTGAAAGCTTTCAATTACCAAAAATTCATGCTTTTTCCACCTTATAACAAACTACTTGCAAAAATGATGGAAATTTAAAATTATACATTCAAAATCATGAAGAATTCAATGTTTCCATCTGAAATTCCATGGGGCAATATGGGAGACTGAAAGGAGGATCTATGTTGAATGAGAACCAGGAACCAGAACCAAGGCTGATATTAAAGAATGTGTGTTTCTATAGGAGATGAGAACTTGAAGGATTTTAAACCCTGAGACAATGTAAGACCTTTATTTTATGACTACATTTAGCAAAGTAAAAAACCACTTGGAGTACAAAAACATAGGAAATTAGTTAAATGTACTGCAACAATCTTTGCAATAGATAATGAGGCTCTCTAGTAGGATAAGAGAAGTAAAAATGAAAAAGATGGGGGAAGTGTGAGAGATTAACATAGGAGGTTAACTTGGAAATTTTGTTAAATGTGTGTCCTCTGGGAAAGAGATGAGCCAAAGACAGTGGTGATGATGTTTTAAGTCTGCAGGATTGAGCAGAAGGTGTAGATTATTTCAACGACTTTAATATCAAGGAAAGTAGTTTTTGAAACAGAAGTTAAAAGGACTCTAGAAAAACTGAAGTCAAATTCCGCGGAAGATGTTACTAATTATCTACAAGAAGAAATAGACATCAGTTGGCCGGGAGCAGTGGCCCACGCCTATAATCCCAGAATTTTTGGAGGCCAAAATGAGCAGACCACCTGAGGTCAGGAGTTCAAGACCAGCTTGGCCAACATGGTGAAACCCCATCTCTACTAAAATTATAAAAATTAGCCAGGTGTGTTGGCATGTGCCTGTGGTCCCAGCTACTTGAGAGGCTAAGGCACAAGAATGGTTTCAACCTGGGAGGCACAGGTTAAAGTGAGTGGAGATTGTGCCACTGCACTCCAGCCTGGGCAACAGAGTGAGACTCCCATCTCAAAAAAAAAAAAAAAAAAAAAAAGACATTACTTGCAAAAAGAGAATTAATTGTTATCAAAAATTTTATTTATAAAGGATAAATCTAAATGAAATTTTAGCATTTCTTTTTTGGAGACATTAAAGATATCCAACAATTTAACATGATGTTATATTAAGATAAAGGGTTTATGCATACCATACTTAGTATGATATATAATATACATTTTAACAAGAATTAATATTGGGAAGTGGACAACAGTAGTTTCTGCAGACACTTCTAAGTCTTAGAGTCTGTAATCCCCTTTCCCCAGAAAAACTCTTCAAAGTAAAATAATAGTATTTATAAGAAACACTGATAAGTGTCCAACTTAAGGTTGTTTTAATATATGTGATATGTGATATGCTGTCTGCATTAGGATAGTGAGGAGGCAGGGCTCAGTGGGCAATAGAGAGGATTCAAATGTTTTTGCAGAGAAACTGCTTTAAAATTTGCTTCTGGAATTTCTCCCTTTGCTATGATTCCAATATCCTTCCACTGAGCAAACAGTAGAGTTAACTGCACCATGGGGACATCATCTTCTTCTATCTCAGGGGATTCATTATCTCAGATCTCAAATTCTTAAGTGCAGCAAATCCTCTAATCATTTCTTTCTTGAATCCATAGAAGCTATTTTGCTAGAAAGAGTACCAACTAATGACTGAATCTGAATTCACTATGTGACTCTTAGGGAAATGGGCACATCTGACAAGTCACATTATAAGGCTATTAATAAGTAATTTTGACTGGTCATCTATGTACATCAATAGCTTTGTTAGTATATAGGTATTATGTGGCTTTTCTATATGAACTAAGGAATATGTTAACATAAATTATTTTCTGATTAATACGTTCAATTTGCATGAGCACAATTCTTAGTATGAACATTATATCATATTATAATTAAGACTGTATTTTAAAATTCATAATTGGCAAGAAATGGCC
>NT_167247.2:277147-378403 GCF_000001405.40 Homo sapiens | reverse complement strand
GGCCGGAATGAAAAAGAGAGATACAGCCATAAGATGAGCTCCACATGTTCCAAACACTTTCTGAAGCCCAGTGGTTGACTGCATCCTCAGTACAGCTTGGACGATGGCACCATAAGAAGTGAGAATGAGGATGAGAGGTATGAGAACAAATATGGAGCTTGTGATCATGAGGGTCAGCTCATTGACATGGGTATCAACACACGATAATCGCAGAAGTGCTGGAACTTCACAGAAAAAGTGATCTACTTGGCGGTGTCCACACAGAGGTACCCAGAAGGTGAAGGAGGAATGAAGTGCTGAGTTGGTAAAACCACTTACCCAAGAAGCCACAGCCAGCAGGTGGCAGAAACGAGGGTGCATGAGGACAGTGTAATGCAAAGGTCTACACACAGCTGCATAACGGTCATAGGACATCACCACCAGTAGGACACACTCTGTGGTTCCCAGTGCGAGAACAAAGTAAAGTTGAATCATGCAACCAGCATAAGAGATGGTCTTTTCCGGGCCCCAGAGATTGACCAGCAACTGAGGGATAGAGCTGGTGGTGTAGCAGAGATCCAGAAATGAGAGGTTTGAAAGGAAGAAGTACATTGGTGTGTGCAGATGGGAGTCCAGGTATGACAGGATGATGATGAACAGGTTTCCTATCAGTGTCATCAAGTAGAAGATCAAGACAACCACAAAGATAACTACTTCCAGATGAGGCCAATTAGAAAATCCAACTAAAATAAAGTACCCCTCAGAGCTAGCATTGACTTTTCCATCATCATTCATTTCCTATTACCTGAGAGAAAAAAAAGAAAGGTAAACTCAAAAAACGAGTAAACAAATGATCCAAAAATATCAGCACACATGAATAAAAAATAAAAGCCAGTTTGAAGGGCTTGCCATCATTTAATTGTAGGACAATTTAACCATTAGTAGTAATGAATTTAACAAAAGAAGAATTATAAAGCTCATACTGATATAAAAAGTAAAAGAATAAATAAATGAATGGTGAAGATAAAGCTATTCCTTACAGTAGATCCCTAATTAACAAATATAGAAGGGGTGACGGTGTTAAGAAAAACATAAATGATTGCAAAAACTAGTGGATAAAAATTTGATGGGGAACAGAATATGTACAAATATCTAAAATAGTCTAAAATATCTCCTCACAACTTTCTAGTTAATTTCAAACTGAAAAACAGTAAAGTTTGTAGTAGAAAAACCTGTCAGACACCACCATAACCAGTGATTTTATTGATCTTAAGATCAACTGTATTTGCACAAACCAACATCATGAGCCTGCTGTGATGATGCTCTGAACAGGACATGCTGTCACTTCAGTGATATTTGTGTTAAAAATTCTAATAATGAAGACTAATTCTAATAATGAAGACACATGAGAAAAACTCAAATTGAGAGAAATAGCTTGCCTATACAATTCAGAAAAGTATCAAGTTTAAGTAGAAAAACAAAGGGTGAGGAACTGGTCCAGATGAAAAGAGACTAGTGAGATGTGATTTCTCAGTGTACAATCCTGGATTTTTTCAAAAACTAGCTATTAACAAAATTATTGAGACAATTTAAGAAATCTCAGTGTGGACTATGGATTAGATAATAATATTGTGCCCATATTAAGTTTGCTGATTTGGGTACTGTGCTGGACTTATGTAAAGTAACATCCTTTTCCTTAGACAAAAAACACTGAATAAAGTATTTGGCGTAAAGGAACGTGTCATCTCCAACTTACTCTCAACTAGCCCAGAAAAAGAGATAGATAGGTAGATAGATAGATAGATAGATAGATAGATAGATAAATAGATAGATAGTTGATAGATGATATAACAAAGCTTTGGGGGAAAATGTAAACTAATACTCAATCTGGTAAAAGGGTAAATGTTAGTCTTTTGTACTACTTTTTTGCAACTCTTCTCTAAGTTTGAAATTTTACCATAATAAAAAGTCACAAAAATACAAAATAATTTTTTAATTTTATATTTTATTTAGATGTTTGCCTTATTATAGAAAAATAACTATCAAGTTCTCATTCATTTTAGGGTGACATCTAGGTAAATGGTAATTGAAGGAAATTCCTAACCTAGCTAAGGAAGATAATTTCCATAAAACACAAAATCTTTCTTTGTTAATAAATAAGGAACTTTAGTTTTCTTTTCAGCATTTTCAGGTTATTTTCTTAAATGTGATTGTGGAAAACGTAATCATTGCAATCACAATAATCTTACATATGGATGAAAAGATATGTGGAAAATATTGAATTTAGTCATTTCAAAATGTTCACCTAAAGAAAAAATGTTTAGCTTCAATTAGATAAGAATCTTATCTTGTGATTTGTTTACTTGGACTCAAAATGTATTTCTAAACTGAAAAATTGAATACAAGTAGAGAAGACACAGACACTTGCTCATCAATATATGGGTATTCATGATACGAACTAAGCTAAAAATCTGGGGAGAACAGTGATAGAATGCTTTCTAAAGGATGTGTGACTACAACTGAATTTGAAAAGATTCAAACTTTACAGAAAGGAAAGGAAGATAAAAATTCAGTGAGAGAACAGAGAAGGAAGGAAAAGTGGGAGGGGCAGGAAAATGGAGGAGAACCTGAGTGTAGTTCTTAGAGTTGCAGGTGTGTCTATCACAGGGTTCAAGAAGCTGAACCACAGGGCCTGAAGAAGGTTTCTACATGATGTATTTTTCTCCAGGACAATAATTTAGATAGTATATAAATTCTGAGCATGAGCTATAATTAGTACATATTTATTCTCCAAGTTAGAGAGTTCTGAATATTTAATGAATCATTAAGTGGCTGTTCATCATTTAATACATTGTGCCCAGTGAATCTCATGTTACTTTTTTTGTTAAAAATAAAATATATCTTACAAATAGTTATGACTCCTAGGTGATGCTTTTTCTCCAGTGAGTTTTCAATCTTTCATAGAAAAAAATGATACTTATTTTTGTTATATAGTTATTGTGTCAGGCATAGCAACCCACCATTTAAATACCCCATTTTCTCTGAATTCTTTGCCTCTTCCAGCTTTGCCACATGCCCTCTATTTCATTCCTTCCACAGTCAGTTATTTTTCTTATACCTCCCAATTGGCTATGGCACAGGAAGAAAGAAATCATTGTGGGGCCACCTGTGATTGCCTCTTTTAGGGGTCTCTTAATCGCTCATGTTTTATAAATTCAATGCCTGAAAGAAATGTCAGGAGTAGCTAATTGGTTGAGTTTCAGCAGAAAAGTTTGGAACATTCAGTTTGGTCCCAAGATTAAAAGATTGACCTCAGACCTTTTAACAGACTTGGTAATGTAAATAATCATTAGCCAGTTGTTACACTAATCTAGATTACTTTCAACAACTTAAACAACCATCCAGGAAAATCAGTCTGCACATTGTTTTAAAAGAAAATTTTAAAAGCTATAGCTGAATCAAAAAGCAGCAATAGTCAAAGAGTAAATCATGAAGATTACTTGACTTAGAGGTCACAGCCCTTGAGGGAAGATGAAAATTTTCCAAGAGATTTTTAAAAATTTCTCTAGAACAGGAGATAATACATCATGAGAAATATGAACACAAATGTTATAGTTACCTTCTCTCATGCAGATAAAATTTTCTTCTTTCTTGTACAGTTGCCTCGATAATTTATTACATTAACTAAAACAACATTTAGCTGTGAGATACCTTTGCCAATTGCATGACCCATCTTTGAGCAATCTTACATAGAGAGGTTAGAATGAGATATGAGATAAGAAGCAAACAAACAAAAACTTACCAGATGCAAGCAAGGAAAAGGTAGGAATTTTTCTGGGTTAATTTTCTTCTTCCTGGTGGAGCAGAAAATAAAAGCCTTATCAAAAGTTAAAAGCCTTATCAAAAGCCATATCAAAAGTTTAAGTTATCCTTAACACAAAGAAAGGATAAATGCTTGAGGTGATGGATACCCCATTTAGCCTGCTGTGATTATTACACATTGTATGCCTGTATCAAAAATACCTGGGTCGGGTGCCATGGCTCACACCTGTAATCCTGACACTTTGGGAGGCCAAGGTGGGTGGATCTCTGGAGCCCAGAAGTTCGAGACTAGCCTGGGCAATGAAGTGAGACCATGTCTCTACAAAAAATAAAAAGAAAGAAATTATCAAAAAAAATCTCATGTACCCCATAAATGCATACACCTATTGTGTACCCACAAAAATTAAAAGTTAAAAGTTGCTTTCATGGACTAGGAATAAGTGATCCTCTCTAGTTTTGGAAATCAGGTATAACGGAGGGAGAAAATAATCTCTTTTCCCCATCCCCATGTCACTGGCCAAGTTTTTTTATTCTTACCATAATATTTCTTTATATATTACCTAGTACTTAAGCAGTACTCAAACAATGCCTTTCACTCTGTCCTTCCTGTATCTGTCCACATTCCCTGTATATTGTCTTCCTAGCTGATGCCCTCATCATGCACAGACTGATCTGATCTCTGATTTTGATCACCTTGAAATCACCAACATAAATGCCTACACTTCCCTCATCTACTACATCAATTAGGAAAACAGTCTGAATGTAGCTATGACTATCATTGCTACAGAAGAGAAAGCTCTGAGTCTACTAAAAAAATTTAGTTTTACCCAAAAGATAAACTTATTAGAGCTTTCAGTGTATCAAGGGATGGGTCTTTATCTTAGAGTCAATGGGCCCTTTTTGGAAACAAAAGAATGTGACTTGCTTTCCTTGACTTGGGCCACTGGGAGGGTAAATCCCAAAGTAGCAATTAATGCCCTTCAAGGAGTTATCCTGGTTAGAACAGTTTCTCAGTGATGTTCTTGGCATGATGCCACATTGTTGTACGAGGATGACAAGGAATCTATAGTCCAGCCATAGCAGAGAAAAATACTTTGAGCTGTATCTGCAGGGAAGGGAATGGGTTATCTTGAGTTACCTGAAACCTCTTCCCCAATTCTTCAGTATGCTAGAGGCCAAATTTGAGATATAGCTTGTTAGGTAGTCTAATTTGGGAATGGGAAAAGGCATGAAACATTTTTTAAAAGGAAATATAATGACTACATTATACATATTTGTTTTATTAATTTGAATTTTTAATTGTGTCTAACATCTCTAAAATTCAAGGCCAAGTTCAGCCCTGCAAAAGTGTTAAAAATTACCTTTGAAGACCATTCAAACTATACTCAGAAGGTCACTACCAAACTCAGAAAACTTTTAACAAAATTATTTAATATTTCCAAAATATTGTTATCAATAATTTCTTTTGATGTCTTGTTAAAAGCTTTGCAGAAATATATAAAAAAGCTAAATTAGCTGTGATAGCTAGCCTACATCCCATGTTTAAAAAAAAAAGCACATTGTGAGTTTATAAACTAATGAAGATTTTTCAATTGTTACATTGTGTCTAGGTGATATATTCCATGTGTACCAGACAAAGTCTTGGTATGAAAATCAAGTCACATTTACAATACAATTATATTTTAAAGTCAGTACTTTTAAGAGCATGATCAGGTATTTTCCTGTCCACTTATGTGAAGCAACTGAAAACAGTCTTGGCTTCAGTAGTCTTGATTGTTGTGAAAACTCCATGTGAAAAATACGTAAACATTATCCTTGATGCCTAGTGCATAATCATTCAATACATGTTAGCTGCTATTACCATTATAGTGAATTTTAATTTGAAGTGATATTTTAACAAGTCATTCTATATTATTTCTTCATCCTTTATTTTAGATATTTAAAATATTAAAAATAAACCCTTATGTTCCCATCATTCAGAATCATCAACCATAACTTTTGTCATTTTTATTTTCAGAATTTTTAGCACATAAAGTATCACAGATAAAGTTCATATCCCCTTCAACTGTCACTCTCTGACCCAACACTAAATCCAGAGACAACTACCATGAGCTTGGTATATATCATTCCAGTTTACTTTAAAATATATTAAATATTATTTTTAAGATAAATATGATTAAATAGTCATATAATCATATGTCTAAACTTCTCTATCTTATTGGAGAGGAATTTGACCAGTGATCCTACAACCTGTGGGGACTAGCAGAATTCAATCAGTTATCAAAATCCAGGAAATGTCTGATATCCTGGTCTGTAGGAGATTGTACCAAGCTCCAATATTTTTCATGTTTTGGTAACTAGAATTGTAGGAGAGTTTTTGGCCCCTGCCAATCTACTGGGTGCCAGCAAATGTTAACATTTTTAGGTGTGATGTTAGTAACTTGTGAAAATACAGCTGGCATAACATGATTTAATTACAGCAAAGTATTTCTAAGGAAGCAACCCTCAACTTTTTTCTCTACAATACACACTCAGATAAATAAAACACATTGAAAGTCACATCTGAGGAATCAAAAGGAATAAAAGACACTAAATGATCTCTGTTGAGCTTCTGTTAATTTGAGTGCTTTGTATGGGAGGAATGTGAATTAGAGTAGATCACAAACTATTAAAGCATTGTAGATGGGAAGCTCAGTTGGAGTTAAGGCCTAGAAAATTCACATATACAACATGGAGTACTATGCAGCCATCGAAAAGGATGTGTTCATGTCCTTTGCAGGGACATGGATGAAGCTGGAAGCCATCATTCTCAGCAAACTATCACAAGAACAGAAAACCAAACACCACATGTTCTCACGCATAGGTGGGCATTGAACAATGAGAACAGTTGGACCTGGGGGGAAACATCATACACCAGGGCCTGTGGGGGCGGTGGGGGGGATGCGGGAGGGATAGCATTAGGAGAAATACCTAATGTAAATGATTAATTGATGGATGCAGCAAACCAACATGGCACATGTATACCTACGTAACAAACCTGCACGTTGTGCACATGTACCCTAGAACTTAAATAATAATAAAATAAAATAAAACAGACGATGGAAAAAAATCAGTCATATTTCTATACAATTTATAGTGGTATCTAAAAACATGAAATACATAGAGGTGACTTTAACAAAATATGGACAATAGCTATACAATGAAAACCTCAAATGCTTCTGAAAGAAAATAAGATGTAAGTAAATGGAGATCTATATCATGTCCCCAGATCAGAAAAGTCAATGTTGTCAAGTTGCCAGTTCTTCTCCAATTGGTCTATAAATTCAATGCAATCCCCAATCAAAATGCCACCAGGCTTTTTCTGTGGAAATGACACACTGTATTTTATTAAAGTTAAAATTTTTCTCTTTGAAAGATATGACAGTATTCTATTTGCAAAAGATTTGTTTGACCAAGGACTTGAGTTCAGAGTATACAAAGAACTTCAAATTCAACAATAAGAAGACAAATGACCCAATTTTTAAAGTGAGTAAAATATTTGAACAGAAGCTACACAAAATAACATATATGAAGCATATGAAAAGCACACAAGAGGATGGTCAATGTCAACACCCCTCAATGCAAATTATAGCCACAGGTAACCTAACTTGAGAGGTGAAAAGTATAAAAACTGACAATACCAAGTATTAGAAAGAATGTGAGTTCATTTGGAACTCTCATACACTGCTGTTTGAAGTGAAAATAGAACAGCCACTTGAAAACATTTTTGCAGTATCTCATAAAGATAATATACACTAAGCATGTGGTCCTCCTGGAGAGGTACAAATAAAAGGTATTTACCCAAATTAAGTGAAAACATGCATCCACACAAACACTTGTATACAAATTTTCATAGCAGCATTATTCATAATAGCCAAAAATTTTAAATACTCCCAAAGCCCTTCACAGATAAATGGATAAATTGTCGCACATTCGTACAATGGAGTTCTAACAAGCAATAAAAAGGAAAAAGTAACTGATACATGTGGCAACATAATAAATGTCAAAAACATCATGCTAAATGAAACAAGCCACACCCAAAGATTACACACTGCATGATTGCAATTATTTGAAATTCTAAAAGTGGGAAAAACCAAGTACATTTAGAGAAAATTAATGCTGCCTCAGGCTATGACTAAAAGGGGAAAGTTGACTACAAAACGGAAGTTCTTTGGGGAGTAATAGAAATGTCCTATAATCTTGATTGTGGTGGCATTTACACAATTATACATTTGTCAGACTCACTGAACTATTCTTTCAATTTGATATTGAGAAACCTGTCTTTGAGACTCAAATTTGCCATTTATTAGTGCGTGCATTTAGACAAGACTACTTAATCTCTCTGAGACTCAATTTCCTAATCTTTAACATAGGAACAATAATGTTTATATCTTATTTTTCTTTTGTTTCAAGAGGCTAATAGTCAACAAAGCTTTAGGGTTTCTATGATGACCAAAATTCTAATGAAACAAAATATATTAATGTGCTTTATAAGTTGTGTAGTACTGTTACAGTATAAAGGATTATAATTATACACTTTTTCCGATAGCTTATTAAATCCAATATTTGATGTCTAACAAAAATACAATAAAAAGAAAATATAAAAAAATTCATTGAACTATATACTTAAAATGTGTAGATTTCTTTGTACATAAATTATACTTCAATAAATTTGAAAAGAAAAGAGTCTTGTAGATCTTGAGAAGCTGGAGTGACACATGACATATTACAAATGGTAAGATTTCCACGGAGGCAGGAGGAATCTATGTTCTCATATTTTGTGAAGTCTGTGTGAGATGTGATGTGATCCCAATAATCCCACTGGGTACTTATCCAAGAAAAATGAAGTAAGTATTCCGAAGAGGTATCTATGCCCCCATGTTCATTGCAGCACTATTCATGACAGCCAAGATGAAGAAACAACCTAAGCATCCATTGATGGAGGAATGGATAAAGAAAATGTGATCTCATACACACACACACACACACACACACACACACACACAGCGAGAAATATTATTCAGCCAATAAAAAGAAAATCCTGCCATTTGTTATAACATGGATGAACTGGAGGATATTGTGCTAAGTGAAATAAACCACACACAGAAAGACAAAAGATGTATGATAACACTTACATGTGGAATCTAAAAAAATTGAACTCGGATAGGAACAGTGGCTCACGCCTGTCATCCCAGCACTTTGGGAGGCCAAGGCAGGTGGATCATTTCAGGTCAGGGGTTCAAGACCAGCCTGGCCAACATGGTGAGAACTAGTTTCTACTAAAATACAAAAATTAGCTGGGCGTGGTGGCGGGTGCCTGTAGTCCCAGCTACTGGGGAGGCTGAGGCAGGAGAGTTGCTTGAAGCCGGGAGGCAGAGGTTGCAGTGAGCCAAGATCGCACCACTGCACTCCAGCCTGTGTGACAGAGTGAGACCGTGTATCAAAAAAATAAAAAAACTGAACCCATAGAAGCAGAGAATAGAATGGTGGTTGCCATGGGCTGGAGGGTGGGAAGTGGAGAGACAGCCAAATGGTACAAACTTTCTGTCATAAGATGAATACATTCTGGAGATCTAATGTAGATTATGGTGACTATAGTTAATAATACTGTACTGTATACTTGAAATTTGCTTAGAGATTAGATCTTAAGTGTCCTGACCCTCCCCGCTCCCCCTACACACAGTAACGATGTGAGATGATGGATGTGTTAATTTGACTGTGGTAATAATTTCACAATTTGGTTTGATTTATATATAATCACATTGTGCACATTAAATATATGTTATTTTATTTGTGCCTCAGTAAAGCTGGAAAAAATAAAATCAAAATAAAGAAATTTTTTTAATAATGCTATTCAGCAAAGAACAAGGATGTTAAGAGTTTTAAGCTATCTTTAATATGTCATTAACTAGGCCAACTAAAGCAAATTAAGCACATATTCTGCTTTGTTTCATTTAATAGCACTGTCTTCCTACAGGAGCTATGAATTTATTATCAGAGTTTATTATCAAACTTATTGTTTTGCTTTCGATTTTTAAAAAGTGAAAGATGTATACAATCTGAAGAGTAATCAGAGTATATTGTTTCTGATTTTTAAAAGCTATCTTAATTTATTAGCATTAACCCCAGTGACAAATTAAGCCATGTACAGATACTTCATCTTTTATCTTATGTTACCATTTTTCCCGATAGAGAGTGCATTCTGTTCAGACAAAGTATGTTATATTTATACATGTTACCAAGAATTTCACAAACTGGGAGAGAGTACATGTCCAGTAAGATTTAGCTAATGAAGAATAAGTTAATGAATAAATGGACAGATGAACGAATCAGCCATTTTAAAGAGATATTAGTTTACTGTTCAATGTGACAAGAATGCAGACCTACAGGATAAATTATATAATTTAGTGTCTTTAAAAAGTGAACTTCAACCAAAAAATTATGACATATCCTTTACCATATAATAAATGGTGTTATTCATTATGTTTACTATTTTTCTTTGCTGTGACTATTTTTAGCTTCATTTAAGGTTTATTTAATAACCAAAAACTTCTTCAGCCTACATCTTTGCAATATTGCCCTTCTCTTCCTATACATATCAATGGTCAGTTCATAATTTAGCACATTGTCAGAAATATTGCCAATATTTTTTAAATAATCTCCTCATAATTATTCACACACACATTTATTTATGTTGAAACCACAGTCCACAATTTTCATGGAAATAAATATAGAATTGTAAAAGAACAAAATGGTACTAATCAAAACCTTTATCTCAACATAATATTTCAGAACTAAATATTAAACAGAGCAACAAATGGGGGAACTGAACTATTCCATGTTTTGTGAGCTGTTAGATGAAACACAAATCACAAAGAAGCAGGGAAACAACCTTTCAAAATGGATAAGACCCTAGGAAAAACAACAGCCAACATGATTTCCCTGTCACATCCCCCATTCCCACCCCATTAGTCTCTTCACTGCCCCTCTTACATCCTTGTTTCTGAAAGTGTAGATTAGAGGGTTAAGACTAGGTGTGACAACAGTGTAAAAGAGGGCAATGAACTTGCCTTGATCTTGAGAATTTTCTGATGGTGGCTGGAGATACATGCACATGACTGGAATGAAAAAGAGAGATACAACCATAAGATGGGCTCCACATGTCCTAAGCACTTTCTGAAGCCCAGTGGTTGATTGCATGCTCAGTACAGCCCGGGCAATGGCACCATAGGAAGTGAGGATGAGGATGAGAGGTATGAGAACAAAAATGGAGCTCATGACCATGAGGGTCAGCTCATTTGCCTGGGTATCAACACATGATAATCGCAGAAGTGCTGGAACTTCACAGAAGAAGTGATCCACTAGGCGATGTCTACATAGGGGTATCCAGAAAGTAAAGGAGGAATGAAGTGCTGAGGTTGTAAAACCACTTACCCAAGAAGCCGCAGCCAACAAGCGGCAGAAACGAGGGTGCATGAGGACAGTGTAATGCAAAGGTCTACACACAGCTGCATAACGATCATAGGACATCACCACCAGTAGGACACACTCTGCGGTTCCCAGTGCGAGAACAAAGTAAAGTTGAACCGTACAACCAGCATAAGAGATGGTCTTTTCCGGGCCCCAGAGATTCACCAGCAACTGAGGGATAGAGCTGGTGGTGTAGCAGAGATCCAGAAATGAGAGATTTGAAAGGAAGAAGTACATGGGAGTGTGGAGATGGGAGTCCAGGTATGACAGGATGATGATGAACAGGTTTCCTATCAGTGTTATCAAGTAGAAGATCAAGATAACCACAAAGAGAACTACTTCCAGATGAGGCCAGTTAGAAAATCCAAGTAGAATAAAGAAGTCTTCAAAACTTGCATTTTTTTTCATCAACATTCTTATTTTTCCTGTACCTAAAGAAAGAATCGCATAAACTCAAAGTCTGTCCATGCATTGCCAACTGCTCACTTGCAAACAGATTGGAGAAAAAAGTATCCCAATTCCAGATAATGTGCACCATTATGGCAGTAGAATTTTTATACAGTTTCCTTTGTATGCTTCATTGAGATATTTGTCCAGCTGTGGATACAAGTAATAGCTTTTCAAGTTACTGAGTTCTTTTATATACATCCTTGAGTTAACATTTGGATAAATGAAGACTAAGATATTCCATAATCAGAAAGACAATATTTAAGAAAATAATTTTTTATTTTAAAAAGTTAAATTGATTTTTTTTTGCATTTTCAGACTATTTCCAATTTTGCAGTTACAGAGAAAGGAATAACTGCAGCCATAATAATCTTACTTATAGATAGGAACTTCCCATGTTAAAGAGCAATTAGGTAGTCACTTTAAAATATTAATATGAACTGAAAAGAAATAATTGGATATGATTATAGAAAGAATTAAATGATATTCATTTATTTATGCTAGCAGTTTATTTCTAGACGAATAAAATAACATGCAAATGAAGGTTTAAACAGACATGCACACACACACCAACTTATAAAAATTCACAATATAAGCAAAGCTGATTAATAAAGTGAAATAGAGTAGAGATATCAGTGATAGAGTGCTTCCAAAGTTACATGGGGGTATAATTATTATTGGAAGACAGAAAGATTACAGAGTCTAACAAAAACACCGGGAGGTGTAAGAGAGAAAGGAAGAGTGCTTTGAGGCACAACAGTGAAGAGGAGGTCAGAATGTGGCATTTGAAATTGAAAGAATGTATAACACAGGATTGTTAGACAGGGACAAGAAGACTTAAATGTGGTTTCTAAAAAATTTTATATGCTTTAGGCCAATAACTGAACTATACTTTAAATTCTGAGTCACAACTTATAATTTATATTTCTGGGTTTTCTTCAATATTCCTAAATAGCATTGCCATCCCCCTTCTGCTCCCCTCCTGCCACAGCCAACTCTTCCTCTCATACTCTCTGATAAAATATGACAAAAGACAAATTTATTTACACCCAACTCACCTTCAGTGTTTTGAAAAACTTTTAACAACTCAAATATTCTAATCTTGACTCTTGAAAAAGATGTAAGGGTTTGCCTAATTAGTTGAGTTACAGCTGGAGAGCTAGGAACGTTGAACTTGGGCCAAGTCTGTGCAGATGCTCCAGACAGGTACAAAGATATCTGTACACTTTTCCATATTGTTGATAATGAAATGATCATTACCTTTTGAGAAATCATGGAAAAATTGCAAGAATTTTTTTAAAAATTTCGCTAGGTTGAAAGGTAATATTCTGTAAGATACTTGAACTCAAATGTTGTGGATACTTTTGCTAATGCAGGTATAATTTTCTTTCCTAATGCAGCTGCCTGACTTCCTTACTACAGTAATTAAAAGGTGAAATCTGATATTTTTCTGTTGTATAAACCATCTTTCAGCATTCTTCCAGAGTCGATAAAAAGGATAGGAAATAAGGGACAAAAAAAAAAAAAAACCCAGAACTCACGTAGAGAAAAGTTTGCAGCTTCGATTTTCTTCTTGGAGGAAAAGAGGGAAATGAAGACCCTATCAAATGTAGCTTTTATGAACTATGGAATAAAATATCTTCTCTCTTCTTTTAAATCAAACACTGTAGGGAAAATGGATGGCTGAGTGTCTCTTCTTTCCCCAATTATTACTAAGAGACATTTTCCCAATTCGTGTCATATTCATTCCTTTATACTATATCTGGTTTGTTTTCTTACTTTTTCATTGACTAGTAATAATTGTATATATGTATGGAGTACATTGTAATGTTTTGATATGTATATACATCATAGAATGATTATATTAAGCTAGTTAATGTACCTATCACCTCACACACATCATTTTTTTGTAGTAAGAACATTTAAAATCTACACTTCCTGCAATTTTGAAATACAGAAGCTGTACACCCCTTAAGAAGTGCGCCAACTTCTTTCAGTACTGACCTTCCTGTGTTTGTCCCTGTTCCCTGTCACTCTCTACCTGGCCTACGACCTCATCATGTATAAACTGATGAAGGGGCTCTCTGGTTGCCATGCAACCTAGAAACATCAACCTAATTGCCTTCTTATAACATTTTTGCCAATGTTTTAAATCTAACTATGGAGAACAGAGTCTGGAAATAACTGTGATTGTCATTGCTACAGAAAAGAGAGCCTGAGTTTGTCCAAAAGATCTGCTTTTTAGCAGAATGTGGGAATACTTTAGAGCATTCAAGGTATCAGGGGATGGACCCTTTATCCCAGAGTAAATGGAATCTTTATGGAACCAAAAAGAATAATGGGATACTCTTTCATTGACTGGGGCCTTTGGGAGTATAAATCCCAAAGTTGCAATTAATGCCCTTCAAGTTGTCCTGGTGTGGTGTTCTCAGTACAAAACTCTTCACAGAAATATCTTCAGTATGATGTTATAGTCTTACTGTGATGACAGTGAATTTATCACTTACAAATATGGGAAAAGATGCTGTGAGTTATATTTACAATAAAGGGAATGGGTTTTACTGAGCCATGTGATTTTTTTTCAGTTTTCCATGGGGCTAAGGGTAAAATTTACAAGACAACTGGAAAAAAGGAGTGATTTCAGAGCCATTCAACTGAAAAACTAGAATACATAAAGACTAAACTGTATATCTATTCCTTACTAATGACGTGCTCTTTGAGACTGACCTATATTATTTATGCCATCCCAGTTGTCTTTTAAATTCAATTCCAAGATTTTTCCTGCAAAAGGTTAAAAAATATCTTGTGTTTAAAATCTCCCCTTTCCCCATCCCCTACCCCCAAGGTAGCTATATTCTACTCTCCACTTGCATGAGTTTATCTTTTTTAGATTCCACATATGAGTGAGATCACGTGGTATTTGTCTTTCTGTGTCTGGCTTCTTTCACTTTGCATAATGTCCTGCAGGTTCATGAATGTTGTTGAAAAGACAGAATTTCCTTTTTTCTTTAAGGCTGGATAGTATTCCATTTTATATAGATAATGTGGCTCATATATATCACATTATATCCCTTTTATATATTTATCTGTTTATCCATTGATGGGCATTTAAGTTCCTTCCATATCTCAGCTATTGTGAATAATGCTACAATGAACATGGTAGTGCAAATATCTGTAGTGAATTCTTATGATTTTATGTTGCCTCAGTGTTTATTTTCAATATAAGTTGAACTTTCTCATACCAGAAGCAGGGCTTAGTCACCCTTAACACAATTTCGAGTTCTCCTCTCCCAGTTTCTCAAGGTGGTCAATCCAGATATTTGGCCTCTTGGTTTCCACCTTCCTGTGGAGCACCTAGATACAACCTGTTTGACTTATCCCACTGATCCCCACACCCCACATGGACTGCAGACTTGCAGTAGTGAACACCTCTCAATACAACATAACTCCCAAGAACTCATGCCTGCTTGCTTTAAACCCAGCAATCAGTTACTCCCTGCTTAGGAAATGCTGTGTACCCCAGTAAAGGCTTCGGCCTTCTCGGCTGTCACTCACTCTCCCTTGCTACCCACCCACTGGTTGAGCATGCATGTCTCTGAGGGCTGCCCCTTCTCCCGTTAGGCCTGTGAGGAAAGTTTCCTTCTTCTCTCTGGATCTTTAAGTAATAAAACTACTTCTATTACGTGTTTTTTTTTACTTGCTTCTCGCGTGACTGACATACGTGAAATTAACTTCTTTTCTGGACAAGGCTCTCTTAAAGAGTGGTTATCTTGGTAGGAATGAACTGGACACACTAGTCAGACAAGAGCCACAAGGGTGTCTGCCAGTGAAAATGAGTTTCCAGTGAGAGGGACACCTGGTCATAAATAGGACAATTAGGCATTAGCTCTCCATCAGGATATAGAAGTATTCCACGAAAAAAACACTGAAAACATCCACAACCACAACCACCTCCACTGGAGCCCATCAGAGCAGGGCTAGAGTTTCTGGCTCCTCTTCAAAGAGAGACGTTAAGACCAAATTAGAGGAAAATCTACCAATATATTTTTAACATATTAATTTCAATCTCTTTGGCTATGTACTCAGAAATATAGTTGCTGGATCATATGGTAATTCTATCTTTTTTTGAGGAACCTCCATGCTGATTTCAATAATGGCTGTATTAATTTACATTACTACCATTAGTATATAAGGATTCCCTTCTCCACATCCTTGCTAATACTTATTAACTCTTATTTTATTGATATAGCCATTCTAACAGGTATGAGGTGATATCTTATTGTGGTTTTAATTTGTATTTCCTTGATGTTGAGAAATTTTGTTATGTATCTGTTAGTCTTTTATGTCATCTTTTGAAAGATGTCCATTAAGTGTTTTGCTCAGTTTTAAAAGGGGTTCTTTGTTTTCTTGCTAACAAATTTAAGTTGTTTGCATTTCTTACATATTTTGGATATTAGCCATGTATGGTTTGTAAATATTTTCTCCCAGTCCATGGGTTGTCTCTTCAATCCGTTATTTACTTTGTTATACAGAAGGTTTTTGGTTTGAGGTAATCCCATTTGTCTATTTCTGCTTTGGTTTCCTGTGCTATTGAGATCATCACCAATAAATTATTGCCAAGATTAATTTCAAGAACATTTTTCCCTATGTTTTCTTCTAGTAATTTTACATTTTCTGGTCACACATTTAAATCTTTAAACCATTTTTAGAGGATTTTTGCATATGGTGTGAAATAAGGTTTCAATTTCATTGTTCTGTATTTGGGTATTTGATTTTCCCAGCATCATTTATTAAAGATACTGCCCTTTCTCCATAGTGTGTTCATTCTTGGCATCTTTGGCAAAAATCAGTTAACCACAAATGCATGAGTTTATCTCTGGGCTCTCTATCACATTACATTGGTCCGTGTGTCTGTTGTTATGCCACTACCTTTCTGTTTTGAATACTATAACTGTGTAATATATTTTGAAACAGGTAGTGTGATGCCTCCAGCTTTGCTCTTTTTGCTCAAAAGTGCTTCAGCTACTTAGGGGTTTTTGTCATTCCATATGAATTTTTAAATTGCTTTTTCTATTTCTGTGAAACAAAAAAGTCATTGAACTTTTATAGAAATTGCACTGAATCTGTGTATCACTTTAGGTAGTACACATATTTTAATAATATTAATTCTTCCAAACCATGAATGCAAAATCCATCATATTCTGGGTTTTTGTTTGGTAGAAGACTTTTATTACTGATTCAACCTCCTTACTCATTATTAGTCTGTTCAGATTTTCTGTTTTTTTCATGATTCATTTTTGTTATGTTTCTAGAAATTTAACCATTTCTTCTAGGTTACCCTATTCGTTGGTGTAAAATTGTTCATAGTATTCTTTTATGAGCTTTTGTACTTCTGTAGTATCAATTGTAATGTCTCCTCTTTCATTTTTGACTTTATTAGAGTCTTCTTTTCTTCTTAGTTGGTCTACTCAAGTTTTGCCAATTGTTTTTATCTTTTCAAAAATTCAAGTCTTAGTTTTGTGAATGCATTCTATTGTTTTCTAGCTTCTTATTTATTTCTGCTCTGATCTTTGTTATTTCCTTCCTTCTGCTAACTTTGGGATTAGTTTGCTCTTCTCTTTTTCTGGTTTCTTGACATGTAACATTAGGTTGTTTGGGATCTTTCTTCTTTTTTAATATAGGCATTTATTACTACAAACATTCCTCTTGCTAATATCTTCTTTTGCTACATGCCATAAGTTGTGGTATGTTGTGTTTTCATTTTCATCTGTCTTAAGATTTTTTTTAATTTTGCTTTTGATTTTTTATTTAACCCATTGTTTATTCAGGAGCATGTTGTTTAATTTCCACGTTTGTAAATATTTTAAATTTTCTCCTATTATTCACTTCTACTTTCATAACTTTGTGGTCAGAAAAGATACTTGATATGATTTCGATCTTCTTAAAACTGTGGAGACTTATTTTGTTCCCTAATATTTGATCCTGGATAATGTCCCATTTGCACTTGAGAAGAATGAGTATTCTGTTGCTGTTGGATGGAATGTTCTATATATGTCTGTTAGGTCCATTTGATCTAATGTGCGTTTCAAGTCCAGTGTTTCCTTATTGATTTCTGTCTAGATGACATGTTCATTGTTGAAAGTGAAGTGTTGAAAAACCCTGCTATTACTGTATTGCAGTCTGTTTCTTTTTAGGTCTATTAATACTTTCTTTATACATTTAGATGATCTAGTATTAGGTGTATATATATTTACAATTGTTACGTCCTTTTGATGAATTGACCCTTTTATCATGTAATGACTTTCTCTGTCTCTTTTTACAGTTTTGGACTTAAAGTCTGTCTAATATAAGTAGAGCTACCCCTGCTGTCTTTTGGTTTCTACTTGCATGAAATATTTTTTTCAGTCAATGTGTGTTCTTTAAGTTAAAGTTAGCCTCTTACAGGCAGCCTATGTTTGAGTATTGTTTTTCAGTTTTTTCCCAAAGCAAATCATTTTAGTAGGTTGTCAAATATACAATTATTAGAAATATCTAAATATTACCTGTAAAAATCAGCATATCACATTAGATAATTCTATAAAGTAAGAAAACACAAATCACACATTGCCAATAACCGCTGCAGTCCAAGAATATCCTCCTGTCAATAGTACAAATTACAAACACATTTTTAAAACTAAAGATGTTATTTAGACATTTAAACCAAAGTAACCATGACTAGCCTAAATACATTCATTCATCAAGTACAATAAATTTAGCATTGCTACTTACAGTCACTAATAACACAATTTTAGGTGCAATTTTACCTAAAATTTCATAAATTTTCCAATACAGTTCCAATAGTAAAGTGTCTTTGTGCATGCCATTTCCATTTATATGTGGGTGCATCATATATCAGACTTAAGGCTATTTCACCTCATTATTAAATTGTTCATAAATATATAAAGAAAGTGAACACCAGGCCAAAATTTAATCCCAATGATAAAAATATATATATATATATAATATATATAAAATATATATATTATTAAAAAGTCAGGAAACAACTGTGAGCCAAAATAAACCTTTTTTCTTTGTAAATTACCCAGTCTTAGGTATTCCTTTATAGCAATGCAAATGGATGAATGCAGAAACAAAGGATCGGTCTGCATTTCTTAACTTCAGAAACTACAGTCTTTGTAGTTTCCTTTGTAGTACCTTTGTAAAGACGAAGATCTTTAAATAGTTTAGTGCTTAGTGTCCTTGTTAAAGTATAACGTTATATAATGAACACCGGCTGATAAATTATTGATGCATTAACTGGCAACATTTCAAAAAAAATTCAAACTCGAAATCTCAGTTTAGAATCTTCCAAGTGAATGAGAACCCCTAACTCTGTTCAGGTCAAATGTTGCCCCCTCACAGAAACTGACTGACCATGCTGTCTAAAGTAACAGCCTCAGCTAATTTTGATTCTCTTACCCTGCTTTCTTTTTCTTCATAGCATTTATCACTATCTGACATTGTATTATATATCTATTTACTTATTATTAGTTTTCTATCTCCTTACTAGTATGTAAGCTTCATTAGAACAGAGACTTTATTTCTTTTGATTATCAATATATCTCCTGTGCACATGACAGTGCCTGACACTTATCACCATGACATAAAGATTTATTGAGTAAATGATTAAATGGTTTGTTTCCATGTTCATGTTCCAACCAGACACATAGGCAGGTATTGTGGCTTATCTCTGAAGTCCTTGGCACTGGCTGGCTGGCATAGAACCTTGCAAACAATGAATAAATAAATTACCCTGATCGATCAGTGTGCCTGGATAGAGAAGACATGTAGCAATGCTGCACCCCTGGATGTGCTATTAATACAATTATACAGCATGGAATACTATGTAGCCATAAAAAAGAATGAGTTCACGTCCTTTGCAGGGATACGGATGAAGCTGGAAGCCATCATTCTCAGCAAACTAACACAGGAACAGAAAACCAAACACCTCATGTTCTCACTCATAAGTGAGAGTTGAACAATGAGCACACATGGACACAGGGAGGGGAACTTTACACACCGGGGCCTGTCAGGGGGTGGGGGGCAAGGGGAGGGAGAGCATTAGGACAAATACCTAATGCATGCAGGGCTTAAAGATGACAGGTTGATAGGTGCAGCAAACCATTATGGCACATGTATACCTATGTAACAAACCTGCACGTTCTACACATATATCCCAGAACTTAAAGTAAAATAAAAATAATAATAATTTATAAAATACACTTAAAATTTTTTTTTTAACCAAGATTGTTCTCTTGAGGTTAACTTATTACTACTTTGAGTTGCCAGGAGTGATTGCACATTTCTTGGGAATCCCTAAGTCACCAAGAATAAAGACCACTTGTAATAACTAAGGCATATTCAACAATAAAATTCTAGAGATTCGGGATATTTGATATTTGCTTGTAACATTTCACTTTTTAGCTTTTATTCATTTAATAAATGTTTTCTTTATCATCTTGTATACTCATGAACAGTTTTAAGTGTCCATTCAAATCATTTCATTGGGAAAAAAAAAGTCAGGAAACAACAGATGCTGGCAATGCTGGGGAGAAATAGGAACACTTTTACACTGTTAGTGGAAATGTAAATTAGTTCAGCCATTGTGGAAGACAGTGTGGCGATTTCTCAAAGATCTAGAGCCAGAAATACTATTTAACCCAGCAATCACATTACTGGGTATATACTCAAGGGATTATAAATAATTCTACTATAAAGACACATGCACACATATGTTTATTGCAGCACCATTTACAACAGCTAAGACTTGGAACCAACCCAAATGCCCATCAGTGACAGACTGGATAAAGAAAATGTGGTACATATACACCATGTAGCCATAGAAAAGAATGAGTTCATGTCCTTTGCCGGGACATGGATGAAGCTGGAAACCATCATTCTCAGCAAACTAACACGGGAACAGAAATCCAAACACCACATGTTCTCACTCATAAGTGGGAGTTGAAAATAAGAACACGTGGACACAGGAAGGGGAACATCACACACTGGGGCCTGTTGAAGGGTGGCGGCACAGGGAGGAGAGCGTTAGGACAAATACCTAATGCATGAGGGGCTTAAAACCTAAATGACAGGTTGATAGGTGCAGCAAACCACCATGGCACATATATACCTATGTAACAATACTGCATGTTCTGCACATGTATCCCAGAACTTAAGGTAAAATTTTTTTAAAAAAGTAAAACCACAAAAAATAAAATAACTTTTCTATTATAATCCAAGCACAACAAATTGTATTTGAAAACTAATTACAAATATATATTACATATAGAAAGTATGTATATATGTCTATTAAACTTATATATAAATTATTAGCTACAACAGATGTCATATAGTTACAAAAATCACAGGCTAAGAAAATGTCCTAATTTAGAAAATGATCATATTCTACACAAAAAGAAAAATGAGGAAAAATAGATACATTAAAATACGAGCACATTAGTTTCCTTAAGATTATATCTAGGCTGATGCTCAATTCAATTACAACTTCTTTATTTTACTAAGATCTTAGGATAAGCACTTATTAAGTCACATATTAAGTCATAACTTGCATAAATCAGCTTTTTTTTTTTTGGAGATGGAGTTTCGCTTTTGTTGCCCAGGCTGGAGGGCAATGACCTATCTTGTCTCCCCAGGTTCAAGCGATTCTCCTGTCCCGCCTCTGCCTCCCGAGTAGCTGAGATTACAAGCACCCACCACCATGCCCAGCTAATTTTTTGTATTTTTAGTAGACACTAGGTTTCACCATGTTGGCCAGGCTGGTCTTGAACTCCTGACCTCAGGTGATCCGTCCGCTTCGGCCTCCCAAAGTGCTGGGATTACAGGCGTGAGCCACCGCCCCAGCCCTCAGCTGCTTCTTTCAAAAACTATTCCCCCTATTGCAATTTCATGTAATTTCTGTGTGTTCTGACCCAGTGAATTAATGCTAACCTTAAATTTCAATGTGTATATTAATATGTTAAGTGACTTTGTATGACATAATTTTTAACCTACAGATCTCTGGTAGCTTTAGTTTACAAACACTTATTACTAAAATCAGTGAAAATAGAAATATCATTTTTCCCTATACGCCATCATAGGACTCCCTATTTGACCTTGCAACTATTTAAAAGGAATTTGGGGCTATAAGTTCATTAAACCTTGTGCTTTCCTAATTAAACAACTTTAAATTTATTTTTCATTGTTTATTTTTGTTACTCTAATCTTCACCCTAGTTTTAGAATTTGTGAACGACATATGTGGTAGTATTATGCAACCAGCCCAGTTAGGAATAGAGTTGACTTATTGACTCTCTGGACATAATGACCAATTAAACTTGAGGGACTCTAGAATCTCTAGGGCTAAAAAGAGGACACAGAATTGTGTGAGTGGTACTCCCTTAATAAATATTGGTTGGCTTTATTTAAAGGCATAACTTTCTTTCCATGACACTTCCAATGTTGTTGATGTCTATAAAGTCAACTTCTCGTTGTAGAAATCCACTAGGAACCTGGTGAGGAGAGCCCATGTCAGTCAAAAATGCCCCAATGACTGAAGACACACTAACTATACACATTTTCCTCTCCTCATAAGTATTTTTCTCACATGTTCTTGATGCAGTCCAGGTTTCATGCTAATTTCATTCTTGGTCAGTGGGCAAAAGGTAGTTGAGTTAGAATGTCGTAAGGATTGAAAATTCAAAAACTCAACTGCATTTATTAATCTGTCTTTGAACCAGACTTCCTTTGAAACACAGCACAAAGAAAGGCGTGAATATCTCTTGGACATTTAGAAAAAAGGTGAGTGGCGTCTAATACAGTGTATTATATTACCATGAGTGGGAAGGATCTCTCAAGAACATCTCACCTACATCCCTGCCTCTGAGTTGCATCATGTTAAATAATCAGAATGCCCAATTTGTTTCCTGGGAACTTTGAAATTAATATGAAGTATTTTCAGTGATTCCAAAAATCCTTCGTATCCTTTCACCCTTTTGAATGGTTTGCTCATTATATCTCCGTACATAAAAACGGTCAGTGGGATTTAAGATTTCTTTTGATTCATGTAGAAAATAGAAATAGGACAAAAAGTCAACGTGACAGTGGAATCAACATGTTCTTGTCAAGAGGTAAGTTCATTTTCTGATAACGTAAAAGAGAAATTGGCGCCATATAAAATATGAAGAAAATAAGAGAAATTATCAGTGCCATATAAAATGTGAAGAGAAGAGGACGTGAAAAAATAGGAGTAGAAAATAACAGCTACTGAATAGGGTCCTCTTTTATTCCATGCCCTTTAGATAACCAGATATCACCTACTACATTGATTTAACTTCCATTTACTGGAAAACTATGTACTCAGTATATTATGCTAGAAACAAAGACAAAGTGATAATATGAAATTCAATAATTTCATGTTATAATATTATGAAATTATAACAATCACTTGAACCACCAATAGTAAATTTTCTGTTTTCTCATATACAAGACAAGCTGAGATAATGATATAGTATTACTATTAATGACTTATTAGTGATTAGTATTAATGATACTGCTATTGATATCAAGCTCACATTCATTAAATGCTTAGTATGCTTGGGACAGGGTCCTAAGTTCAGATGTGTATACATTGTCTCACTTGAGCTTCACAATACTCTCTTTTTATCAAGTCAGAGATTGTTTTTTAATGTAGCACAAGAATGTTCATTCATTGCCCAGGATCACACAATCCAGTAATAAAACCCTGGCAGATTCTGGCTCCAGAGGCACTGTACCTAACAGCTAACCTTTAACAGTGATTTTTTTTAATGCTACTAAGTAGGAAGACAATGTGATACTTTCTTCTTGTTTTTATTTGTGTTTCTTCAATAATGAAAAAGTTATAATCTTTTATACTTTCACTGTCATTTTATGTTGTTTTCTTCCCCAAACTGCTTATTTATGTCCATTGCTCATTTTTTTCCATTGGACTTTTGATCTTTTTCTATTTATTATGTAATAATTATTTATATTTTAATATAATAACCATTTTTTCCATAAACATTGTATATTTTTCTATCTTGCCATTTATGTTTTATCTTTCTGTGTAGTCTTTTTCTGATATAAAAAATTGTATTAATGAGTAAAAATTGTATATATTTATAGTGTACAACATGATGTTTTGATATATGTGTACATTATAAAGTGGCTAAATCAAGTTATCTAATGTATGTATTACCTTACATATTTATCATTTTGTAAATTTACATGGACATTCAAAAAAGCCTAATCTCATATTCTCTTCTATTTTTCAACCAAAGGTGTATTACTGTTATTTGCCAAAAAATAATGTGTATCTATAGCTAAAAAAAATCATATATAATGGAAGAAGTTAAAAATCTCAAGGTCATCTCTGTTCATTTTCATTTATTCATTCCATTATCAAATTATACTTTATATATCAGTGTTTTTACTCTGGAAAAGTTATCTTATTCTGTGGTAAATTGTGTCAATACTTATTTTCTCTTCTCTCTTCAGTCTATCTTTCTATTTTTATGCTTGCAAATTCAAATGGTGTAAACCACCTCGATGACATTTCATTTAAACATGCAAAGTAGACTGAAGAAACTTAGGTGCACTTAGGTAATATAACTAAATAACTGATGACTTTTACAGACTGAAGAAAATCAACTTGAATATATGACTTTTGGTTTGTTTCTATTTTAATTTATGACCACTTTTGTGCTGTATGCAGTCATTCTTATTGTACTATCTGTGTATTTAGGGGGAAATACGGTATAAAAGAAAGAATGATCTTTAAATCCTAGGTGTTAGTCTTGACCTCACCAATAATGAGTGTGCAAATTATTTATTCTTACTGAATCACAGAAGCAATAAAATGCAAACCATGACTGTGAGGGGTTTGATGAGAATTACAAAGAATGTATTTCACACACTGAGCAGTTTCTGGCACATGTTAAGTAAAGCAACAATTATGTTATCAGTTTTGCTATTTTAATTAAGGTATTTGCAGATGGGGAGATGACATCTGTGGTCATTACTATATATCACAAGTAGCCATAATTTTATTACTAATACCCACGGTAGTTCTTTGTGGAAATGGACCTACATGCATGGCATTTAGGAGACAGACACAACTCAAAAAAACACGTAAAGATGTTACTAAAAGAAGCAAAATTTCTTTAGATCAATTGCAGATTTAGATTCAACTCTTATAACCTCTATATTACTCAGCATTTTCAGGCCAAATTTAAAATAATTGGAGTAAAAGTAATATTTCTTTCTAAACTGTTTATTAAGATAGGTTAGGAGGTAAGAAGAGGAGAGAACATAAAATGCATTGAGAACTCACAATTTTCCATGTGTTATGCATATGTTACATACTTTATGTCATTTAAATGTAATGATTTTCTTTAAAGTAATTTAAACACTACTGAAAACACAGGAACTACTTTTAAGCTTAAACATAACCATATTATACTTTACAAGGGCTTTATCCACTTGACTGTAAATTGTATTTGATGCTGAACTATTCATTAAATTTAATTCAGCTCCAGTAAGAGTATTCAATAAACAAACATTGATTGCTTTCCTATCTTACATTTTTTTAGGAGTGCGAAATAAGTGAGTCATCATGAATTGGGAAAATGAGAGCTCCCCAAAAGAGTTTATACTACTTGGCTTCTCAGATAGGGCTTGGCTACAAATGCCCCTTTTTGTGGTCCTGTTAATATCATACACAATCACCATATTTGGCAATGTGTCCATCATGATGGTGTGCATTCTGGATCCCAAACTTCATACTCCCATGTATTTCTTTCTCACTAATCTCTCCATCTTAGATCTCTGCTATACCACAACTACAGTCCCTCATATGTTGGTAAATATTGGTTGCAACAAAAAGACCATCAGCTATGCTGGCTGTGTGGCCCACCTCATCATCTTCCTGGCCCTAGGTGCTACAGAGTGTCTCCTTCTGGCTGTTATGTCCTTTGACAGATATGTGGCTGTTTGCAGACCCCTCCACTATGTAGTCATCATGAATTATTGGTTCTGCCTAAGGATGGCAGCCTTCTCATGGCTCATTGGTTTCGGCAACTCAGTGCTGCAGTCTTCCTTGACTCTTAACATGCCACGCTGTGGTCACCAGGAAGTGGACCACTTTTTCTGTGAGGTGCCTGCACTTCTCAAGTTGTCATGTGCTGACACAAAGCCTATTGAGGCTGAGCTCTTCTTCTTTAGTGTACTAATTCTTCTAATTCCAGTGACATTGATCCTCATCTCCTATGGCTTCATAGCTCAAGCAGTATTAAAAATCAGGTCAGCAGAAGGACGGCAAAAAGCATTTGGGACATGTGGGTCCCACATGATTGTGGTGTCCCTCTTTTATGGAACAGCCATTTATATGTATCTTCAACCACCTTCATCCACCTCTAAGGACTGGGGAAAGATGGTTTCCCTCTTCTATGGAATCATCACATCCATGTTGAACTCCCTCATCTACAGCCTTAGAAATAAAGATATGAAGGAGGCCTTCAAGAGGCTGATGCCAAGAATCTTTTTCTGTAAGAAATAAGAAGTACTCCATTGTGATGAGAATCTTCTTAGTCTTTCCTTATCTTCAATGATGGTAATGACCTTTGAACTCATTTTCCTATTTTTCAGGCTCTGGTGATTTCACTAAATTCTGTCAACAATTAGAAAATCCTTCCTCTGTTGGCTGGGCGCGGTGGTTCACGCCTGTAATCCCAGTACTTTGTGGGGGCCAAGGTGGGCAGATCACATGAGGTCAGGAGTTCGAGACCAGCCTGGCCAACATGGCGAAACCCCATCTCTACTAAAAGTACAAAAAAATTAGCAGGGCATGGTGGTACACGCCTGTAATCCCAGATACTCAGGAGGCTGGGGCAAGAGAATCGCTTGAACCCAGGAGTCAGAAGTTGCAGTTAGCCCAGATCGCGCCACTCACTCCAGCGTGGGTGACAGAGTAGGAATCTGTCTCAGGAAAAAAAAAAAAAAAAAAAAAGGAAAGAAAGAAAAGTCTTCTTCTGTTTAGGAAGCAATGCTGAACCCATATGACATGTCTTCAAAGTTAGAAACTCCTTTCTTTTCAGAAGTTCCCCCAATGTACTCTGTTCCTTGAGACAAGTCATGTCAATTTCCTATCAACTTCAGGGTAGTCAGGAGACTTTGATGGATTGCCTTCCACTTGTATACTATTATTCTATAACCATCCTGTCTACGCCTTTAGTTAGGGATTTTAATATCCTTATAATTAAATTACCAGTTATTCCAAGCCAAAAATTATTCCATCAGAATCAAAGTCTTCAAACACTTTGAACCCTCTGATCTCTTGATAAAATTCATCATATGCACCTTTTCAGAACTGTTTTTGGTATGTAATTTGGCTTCAATCTAGCTGGCTTTGTTTTTGTTTTGTTTGAGAATGAATTTTACTCTTGTTGCCCAGGCTGGAATGCAATGGCACGATCTCAGCTCACTGCAACCTCCACCTCCTGGGTTCAAGTGATTCTCCTGCTTCAGCCTTCCAAGTAGCTGGGATTACGGATGCCCGCCACCATGCCCAGCTAATTTTTTGTATTTTTAGTAGAAACGGGGTTTCTTTGTGTTGGCCAGGCTGGTCTCGAACTCCTGACCTCAGGTGCTCCACCCATCTCAGCCTCCTAAATTGCTGGGATTACAGGCATGAGCCACTGCGCCCAACCAATCTAGCTGGTTTTAAACCAGCTAAGTGTGTGCATCTCAATCTGGAAACCTTAAATGTCAGTTGAGTTTTATTTCAAATTCTATTTTCAATTCATCTCTTTATTCCTCCGGATAGCATTTATCCTTTCTTCCCTTTTGTTAAATTCCTTATTTGTCCCAAGTTCTACCTCAGGTATGTGGCATCTTTTCTAAATTATAGAGCTAATTATAGAAATGTTAATGGGAATCCTTTTTTCTCATATTGACCTGAATTAGCTTACTCTTTATCTGTGGTAGTCATTCAATAAACATTTATTGTTCACAAGACAGCAGTAGTCCAGAGGAGAAATATCACAGTTCCTCTGCTGAAGAAATGTGCTAGTTCCAGAAGGCAATGATTCTTAAACTGAGACATTTAAATGATGGTTTACAGTTAGTAATGTAAGGACACAGATGAGGCAACATTTTAGGCAACAGAGAAAGCTTTACAAAACAAAGCATTTCATCATTACAAGTAATTTAGCAGTTAAACAATACAAAACCAGGCAAGATGAGGTTGACGATGTAATATAATTATATATTATATATAGTTCTATATCACATATAATTATGATAATGATATATTATATATAATTATATTATATATTATTATATTATATATTATTATATTATATATAATTATATTATATAATTATAATTATCTTATATACAATTACAATTATATTATATATAATTATAATAATATTTAGATGACATTTCAAATAAGTGGAAAAAGAAGAGACTGAAGAAATGTCTGTTGAGTTTTATTTCAAATTCTATTTCAATTCATCTCTTTATTCCCCTGGATAGCATTTCTCCTTGTTTTTCCCTTTTGTCAAATTCCATATTTGTCCCAAGTTCTACCTCAGGCATGTGGAATGACCCCTTAATTATAGAGCTAATTATAGAAATGTTAATGGGAATCATTTTTCCTATATCGATCATATCTTCAGAAAACACAAAAAATGAAAGAACACAAAGGGATCCACCTTTTACCTGGATCTCTGTTGTTACCCAATCTACCTTTATGCACTTCTCCCAACTCACTACCAGCGGAGTTTGCGTTTTTTCGTGTGCATTATATCAGAAAATATTCCTATGTTTTCTGGTATTTAAAACATAATTGAAATAGCTGCAAATTGGGCCGGGCATGGTGGCTCACACCTGTAATCCCAGCACTTTGGGAGGCCGAGGCGGGTGGATCACGAGGTCAGGAGATCGAGATCATCCTGGATAACACGGTGAAACCCCGTCTCTACTAAAAATACAAAAAAATAGCCGGGCATGGTGGCAGGCGCCTGTAGTCCCAGCTACTCGGGAGGCTGAGGCAGGAGAATGGCGTGAACCCAGGAGGCGGAGTTTGCAGTGAGCCGAGATTGCGCCACTGCACTCCAGCCTGGGCGACAGAGCGAGACTCCATCTCAAAAAAAAAAAAAAAAAAAAAAGCTGCAAATTTAATTTCACCAAGGAAGTGTATTAAAATCTATTTAACCACTTTCCTATTGTTGAACATATTTACACTCCTTGTTTTGATTATTGTTACTACTACTGCCAATAATTCAATATGAATTTGTGTCTAAATGTCAGTTTATATTCTGAAAAACTGAATTACTGGCTCTAATTATAAATTTCTTAGAAGATCTAAGAGTTAATAGATATGGTCAAATTGTGCTGTAGAAATTTTATAACATTCCACATTCCCAGATAGATCACTGTATATAGCAAATGAGAATGGTTGCTTCACGAGCTTTTGCAAACTCTGAGAGTTTCATCTTTTGATGAATATGCCAATTTTAGAAGCAGAAACATTATCAAGTTCCTATTTGTTATTTCCTTGAGTATTTTGAAAGTAGAGTATTTTTCATAAATTGAATACATTAGGAATGTTTATAAATATTTTATTTTTTCTCCCCTTCTAGGCAGATGGTAAAATTGCACATCCCTGTCCTATCGAATGCAGACCTGGCTGTTTAATATGATTTGCCAATAAAATGTGAAGAGAAATGATGTGGGTTATTTTTTGATGACTTCAAAATCTAGTACATACTCTGCCATGTTCTCTTTCCCTCTGGCAATCAAAACAATGTTCCAGGTAGGTTCTCAATCAGCCTGAAACAAATGTTAGGAAATTAAAATATGAGGCACTGGCAAAAGGATCACATGGCAGATGATGAGGGATATGATAGTAAAGCCTGAAACTGAGAGGGGCCAAGATGGTCAGTGACACAGCCAGGAAGAACATCTTCCACAACAGACCAGGATATCAGGAAGACTGGCATACTCCGAGCCGATCTTCGGAGGGAAGGCATTGAGGGTGGACAGAGGGAGGACATAGAACCTGGGCTGGAGGGTGAGAAACCTCGGAACTTTGCACGGAGTTGCAGAGTACCCGGACTCGTTTCTGGCCCATGTTCTTGGCCCGCAGTGACTCCTGGGGAAGAGGTCCGTTGAACACACGAGGAGTGGCCACTCTCGCCACAGACCTCCAGAATCCCAACTGCAGGAGACCCCATGACCCCGCGGACACTTGAGCTGGCAGGGAGAGCTATTTGGAAAGGTGGCAAGGACAGGACTTCAGCCTGTGAAAAGCCCAGAGGGTCTGACACAGGAACGGCTGCAGTGGAGCATGGCCAGAGACGCCCATTCCCCCAAAGCTCACCATGCTCCTCTAGGTGGTCTCAGCCTATGGTAACTGCCAGACCTGAACGGAGCAGGGCTATCTTACCTGTGGGATGGGACCAGTCTAATCTGAGTGCTCCCTTGTCTGCCGGCCTCTCCTGGGGTAGACTGGCTAAAGAAAATGTGCTACATATACACCATGGAATACTAAGCAGCCACAGAAAAAGAATTAGATGATGCCTTTTGCAGGAACATGGATGGAGCTGAAGACCATTTTCTTAAGCAAAGTAACGTAGGCACAGAAAACCAAATACCTCACACTCTCATTCATAAGTGAGAACTAAACACTGAGTACACATGAACACAAAGAAGGGAAAAGTAGACTCTGAGGCCTACTTGAGGGTGGTTTAGTTTTTTAAGGACTAAAAAACTACCTATCATATACTATGCTTATCACCTGGGTGGTGAAATAGTCTATACAACAAACCCTATGAAATACGATTTACCTACGTAACAAACCTGCACATGTACCCCTGAACCTAAAGTAAAAGTCTAATAAAAAATGAGAGAGATTGAAATTATGGTGCCAGGTTTGGTGGCTCACACCTGTAATCCCAGCACTTTGGGAGGCCAAGGTGGGCAGATTGCCTGAGCTCAGGAGTTCAAGACAAGCCTGAGCAAAGTAGTGAAAACTCATCTCTAAAAAAATACAAAAATTCATTGGGTGTAGGAGCAAACACTTGTAGTCCCAGCTACTAGGGGATGCTGAGGCAGAAGGATCACCTGAGCCTGGGAGGTTAAGGCAGCAGGGAGCCAAGATCACACCACTGCAGAGTACAGACAGAGAAGACCCTGTCTCAAAAAAAAGAAAGAAAGAGAAGAAAGAGAGAAAGAAAGAAAAAGAAAGAAAGAAGAAAGAAAGACAGGGAGGGTGAAAGAAAGAGGAGAAAAAAGAAAGAAAAGAAAGAGAAAGAAAGAAAGAGAGAAAGGAAAGAAAAGAAAGAGAAAGAGAGAGGGAGGGAGGGAAGGGAAAGAAGAAAAAAAAGGGAAGGAAGGAAGGAAAAAGGGAAGGAAGGAAGGAAGGAAGGAAAAAGAGAAGGGAGGGAGGAAGGGAGGGAGGGAGGAAGGGAGATAAAGTGATCCATGTTATACAATAAGGAAACATTTCATAAACTATCACCTGCAATAACTTAGAAGGCAGATAATGAACCTAACAACTGAGTGGAACCCGAGGGTTATGAAGAACAATGGATGGAGGAGCTACTTTTCAATGAGTGGGATATAGGGACATTTCCAAACTCACATTTGGAACGCCTCACAAGAACTGCCCAGTGGTTACAGTGATTGTTTAACTTCTGGGAAGACATTTTAAGGGCAGAGTGTGTTTTGCAACTTTTATTTCCCTCTATCACAACAATCTAGAGAACTTTGGATAGTGTCTACTTCATCAGTTTGGATCCCTAATGCACAATGACATGGACAAGTCCCTAGCAACATTCAATAAACACAAAACATAAGCAAAAATGAAATATTTGTTGGTTTAAGCCTTTATGATGGACTTGTTTACCAGCATATGTTAATTGGCCATTTTTTTTAAAAAAAATAATATTATGGAGAAATACTCACTGTTAAGTGGTGGAGAAAACTCAAGAAACGATTCTACACTTAGAACATGACCCTAATTTTATGTATACCTATATGTGTAAGAAAACACTAGAAATAAGTTCACCAAGCTAACTGTGGTGAGGTAAGTGACAGGATATCAGGAAATTTTTATTCCAGGCTTCTTATTTTTCTGTATTTTCTGATTTCATCATACAATTTCTTAAGTATTAGGAAAAAGTCTAAACATCATAAAACTGGTGCTCTAAGTCTATTTCACCTTGAAAAGTCTTGCATTAATGTTTATTTGCTTCCCATTAGACACTATCTTAAAGCCATAATAACCTAAAGTTGAATTTTATTTGAAATAAAAATTATTGATAGTGAAATTTTTATTAATGTATTTATAAATTTGGCAACTAATTTTAGAAATATCTACTCCAACCTTCAAGCTTACCATTAATAATTTCCCAAAGTCTTCTTAAAAATAATTTTATAAATATTTATACTTTGGGGGGCATTAGTAACTTAAATAACAAAAATAAGATGGGTTGAGCTCTAAAATTTGAATCACCATCAATGTTCTAAAATATTTTTATATTACTTGTATCTACATTATTATCACATACCACCTAAATCAGAGACACTTAAATTTTCTCTGCCTTCCTAAGTGCACATCCAGAGCAAAGATATTATATATAGATATATAGTATATACAGATATTAAAATAGTTATAAATTTGCCTAATGTTTTTCAATCGCTTACTATACATACAGATTTTGCTATTTGCCGAGTATTTGTTAGTGAATAAGACAGACACAATTCCTTCCCTCACAAACTTTATAGTCTAGTGGGAGAAAGAAAACAAATAATAATACTAAACATGTAATTACAAGTTGTACTAAGTACTATAAAGTAAAAATGACAAGGCTTCATGAATAAAATGGATGGGTGATTAGTTTAAACCAGGAAAGGTTCAAGGAAAGCTCTTCTAGGGAAGTGTCATTTAGGCTCAGATCTATAAGTGAGGTAGTAAATTCTTCAGAGTAGACAAAACAGTAGATGCTAAGGCCTTGATCTGGCAGGAAGTATCATAACCACAAGTGTTCTTTTTATTGTCATCTTCTTATTTAATGTAGTTTACTACATTTTACATTTATAATGTATTTTTAATGTAATTTTTAAAGTTGCAAGTATAATACAGAACTTTAAATACCCTTTTCCAGAGTCATCATTCATTTACATTTGCCTTACTTTTACACATATGTAATATATAAATGTAGTTTTCATATCTGTGAAATTTTTCCCAACCTTTTTATTACTACATACACTTTAGTGTATAGTTGCTAAGGACATTAACTTCCATACATAGCCAGTACAATCATAAAAACTGGGACATTTTACAGTCATATAATACTATTATGTAATCAATAGTTCATATTCAGATCTTGTTAATTATCTCCAAAATGTTCTTTATATTTTCTCCCATTCAGGAGCCAATAATGATGCAACATTTCAGAAAAGTGTATAAGGATAGTTTGTCTTAAAATCGATGCTGTTAACTTTAGTCACTTGACTAACATGGTGTCCCCCAGATCTCATTATGCCTTTTTCCTGAGAAATTAATAAGTAATTT
The DNA here is from genome assembly GCF_000001405.40 of Homo sapiens. Lineage (NCBI taxonomy): Eukaryota > Metazoa > Chordata > Mammalia > Primates > Hominidae > Homo > Homo sapiens. The sequence continues at coordinate 345,010 of NT_167247.2, read as the reverse complement.
GTGGCAGACAGCATAACTATGTAAATGTCTTAAACTTTCACCCACTAATTTTAACATCTATTAATAATTCTCCAATCCTAGTATGCCCTCTATATTTATTAATTGATGTGCCATTAAGAGTTTTCCCTTTTCCCCCTTCATGTATTCATTTTTTATATTTTTATCAGTATATACTCATAAATTTCTATTTTATATCGCTATTTTACCTTTTTTTATTATTACAGTTTTTCTGGGGTACATGTGCAGGATGTGAAGGTTTGTTACATAGGTATACATGTGCCATGGTGGTTTGCTGCACCCACCAACCTGTCATCTACATTAGGTATTTCTCCTAATGCTATCCCTCCCCCAGTCCTCCATCCCTGACAGGCCCCAGTGTGGGATGTTCCTCTCCCTGTTCCATGTGTTCTCATTGTTTAACTCCCACTTATGAGTGAGAACATGCAGTGTTTGGTTTTCTGTTCTTGGGTTAGTTTGCTGAGAATGATAGTTTCATTAACTAGATTAACTGTGTAGTAAGAATTTATCATTCACTTTTCACTTCCACACCAGCAGGATGATGTAAGGAAACTAATACCATCAGAAAGGATCATGTTTTAAAATTAAAGCTATAATAGGGAAAAAATATATATATATATATACTGTATCCCTACATAAAGCTGAGGGTTACCGAGAATAAGTCAAATGTATTCATTAATGTCAATAATGAATTGGGTGGGAGTGGATTCAGACAGAAAAGAAATAAAAACAAAGGGTATACGTATATCAAATCATCACACTGCACACCTTGAATATATACAATCTTTATTGTCAATTAAATATTGTTTTAAAAAATAAAGGACCAGAAGCTGAATATAGTTATAGAATGCAGCAAATGATGAAAACAAAAGTGGGAGCAAAGAACAAGCCTGAGATGATCAGTGTGAACTTGGCTAGAAGGATTCCAGATTGCTAGATCTGCTGCTAATTGTGAACCATGGGTGAAAAAAGCAATTACTTTAAAAACAAGCCCATGGCCAAAAGTTTTCAGGACCCATATTTTCAAAATTCCAGATTCCATGATTTTTAATCATGTTTTAATAACATTAATGTATGTTAATATCTTCTTGACACAATGTTTTTATGGTTTAAATAAAATGAGGAACTTTAATGTAGTCAATGGAAGGTAAAAAGTCTATACTGTGTTGGGTTATTGTGGAAGAAATTATTGAAGACTTCTTTTGTCTGTATGTGGAACTAGGATTATGATGGCTCTATGGTAGCAGAAATCTAAAGAAATAATATCTTGAGAAAAACTATAACTAAAAGAAAATTAGATCTTGGCACCTAAAATAATAATCTTAATTTCCTCCTTGTGATCCAAGGAAATTTTTATAAAATTGTTAAGGCAGATTCAGTTTCCTTGGCTTCTCTTAGACCTGAGTCCATTATAAATAACAGGTGCCAAAATTTATCATTTCATTTTATTATGGCAAGGAAGTTAGAGGGAAGCATACCCACTAAGGAATTGCTATAATGACCCTTACCAAGAAATTTCAACTCTATTATCTGTACAGAGAACAAAGTTTCACAGCTTTATAGAGTGAGTGGCAACCCTATAAAGTACTTTTTTTAAAGTACCTTTAGAACAAGATCGTGTCCTTTGCAGGGACATGGATGGAGCTGGAAGCCATTATGCAGGAACCATTATGCAGAAAACCAAACCCTGCATGTTTTCACTCATGGAATGATGAGCTGAGCAATGAGAAAACATGGATACAGGGAGGAGAACAACACACAGTGGGGCCTGTCTGGGGGTGGAGAGGGGAGGGAGAACATCAGGAAAAATAGCTAATGCATGCTGGGCTTAATACATACGTGATGGGTTGATAGATGCAGCAAACCACCATGGCACACGTTTACTTATGTAACAAACCTGCACATCCCACACATGTATCCCAGAACTTAAATAAAATAAAATAAATTTTTTAAAGTACCTTCCTTACCTCTAAAGAGTAAGTAGGTTTTCATATTTGAAAATATTTGGGGTGTGCTCTGAGGGAGGGCCTGGGCCACCCACCTTTGCTGGAGGAGCCCTTCAGGCCATAATAAGCATGAATAATGTCTTTCCTCTTTGAGTGGATCTACAATGGCTTCAGCAGTGTGCTCCAGTTCCTAGGACTCTACAAGAAATTTGGAAAACTTGTATTTTTCGGTTTGGACAACGCAGGCAAAACCACTCTTCTTCACATGCTCAAAGATGACAGATTGGGTCAACATGTTCCAACACTACATCCGACATCAGAAAAGCTATTAATTGCTGGAATGACTTTTACAACTCTTGATCTTGGTGGACACAAGCAAGCATGTCAGGTTTGAAAAAATTATCTCCAAGCAATTAATGAGATTGTTTTTCTGGTGGATTCTGCAGATCATTCTGGCCTCATGGAATCTAAAGTTGAGCTTAATGCTTTAATGACTGATGAAATAATATCCAATGTGCCAATCCTTATATTGGGTAACAAAATAGACAGAACAATGCAATAAGTGAAGAAAAACTCTTTGAGATATTTGGGCTTTCTGGACAGACCACAGGAAAGAGGAACATGGCCCTTTAGGAGCTGAACGCTCACCCCACTGAAGTGTTCATGTGCAGTGTGCTCAAGAGGCAAGGCTAGGGCGAGGGATTCTGCTGGCTCTCCCAATGTATTGACTGATGTTTGGACAGAGAAAATAAGAGTTTTTCTCCTCTGGACTGATCCTGTTCACAGCTTCTTCATGGACTTTTCTAATAGAACAATGAAAGGTCTCCAATCATGTCTAGCATTGAGAAGCCAAGAGTCACTGTCTACTCTCATCACCCAGTGGTGAAATGTTCTCTTCTCCACACTGTTGGGGAGGTAATGCTGCCCCATGTGCTGGTGCAGGTCAGTATCCTGGGGCTTGGAAGCTGGCAGGGGTTGCTGAGTAAAGCTGTGTGCCATTATGGGGCACCTGAAAAGAAAAACACATCTCACCACTCTGGTTGATTTCAAAAGAAAGTGATTCTATTTTTAAAGAAAGTGTTGTTAATATAATTGATACCCCTTCTAACTTTTCGAGTTCAAAATTTACTTAGTCCAGAGTTTTCTATTCTTTTTTAAACTAATGAATGACATTTAGATACTTCATAAAATTATGAACAGATACACATTGGAGGCCAGAGCTCATTTGGGTAAACTCACTCCTGCTGAGTTAGCAGGTTGGTGAGAGAAGCTCCCCTGAGCTCACCTGTCTCTCTAACTGCCTTGGAGAAGGTGGCATTACCTTGTGAACAGAGAACCAGAAAAGGGGCAGAATCCTGGCCTTGTAATTGCGGCAGGTTTCCACTGTGGTAAGCTAGGGTCATTCCTTCTCAAGGAATGTGTAGCAGATCATTCACTATTGAGCAGTTAATTATAGTGTAAGTTACTGTTATTATTCTTATTTATAAAGTTATAGGTTTCAGCCAGTCTTTACTTTTATACTTTGGTGAAATTTTATTTCCCTCTATAGCACCTTCCTTTTTCATTTTCAGTTATAAAAAGTAACTTTCACCTCATGAAAAAGTTGAGAACATCTCTTATGTTGTCACATACTGCAGGTGTGTCAGTTACTTTTGCACAGATTCTAGAGGAAAATTTTTCTGAATAGGAAGACAGGACAAAGTTAACAGCTTAAGGGCTCTTAATTCTGGGAGTTGAGGACTTAAATGTATTGTAGCACTTGTCTGAATGCAGGAAAAATTTACTCACTGGGCTTTAAAATTTCCATTTGCAGAATTTGGTCTCTATTGGATTTTTCCTGAGCTCTTTGTCTTACATCTTATCTCCTTAGATATCTACGTTGCTGTGTTTAAAGTAAAGGTTAACATCTGTAGCTTTTCCAGGTGTGTTTGTGTGGATTTTTTTAATATGAAATTGCCTTTCCCCATTGTAGAAATAAGCTGGGGGGAAACACTAACTCAAAAACTTTCTGTAGAGCTGTTCCTTTGGAAGCAGCATCACTTATTGGCAGTAAAGACTCAGGATAAAAGCAACAGCATCCCTACCACGGTGATGAGGATTGATTTTATAGCATTCCATTTTCTTAGTGTCACATGTGAAATTGGATTTTTATGATCTTAACCTAAATTCTACCCTTGTAGTAAAAGATCAAAAGATAAGATCTCCTAGGAAAAGACAGGAGATAGGAGATGAAAAGTTAGGAGGATATCTTTATTCTAATGTGAGGGTAGGGAAAATGTGGATAACATATTATTGGGGAGAGAGTATAGTTATTTAGTTGGAGTTCTCAGTCTTCAGTACTGACTTGTTCGGGAAACATACTTTTTCACTGCCAGGTACTGAATGCAGAGGCTCAGTGAAGTATATTTCTGGGAAGTGCATGCATTTCATTTATTAGCAAGCATAGCTGGATTAAGATAAAATTGTTTGGAAAGGGGTTAAAGCCTTAACTGAACAAATCTAGCTAACAGTGAATGAACTAGATAGTTAACTTGCATTTTTTTTAAATTTTCCTTTGGTTAAAGGTTCCCCATACTTCTCTTATCAGAGACATGAGAAGTATGATTGCTTCCATGTTGGTTTTCTTACTTTTAGTTTCGGATTTTTTTTCCCTATTTGTCCCTAGTAACTTTGTTGCAAGCTAGAAAACTGTGGGTTCTACGTAGGGCAGCTGCTGTGAGGAGCTCAGCTCTAAACACAGGATCAGCGCCTTGTACAGGAATTCTCATGAATTAAGATGTTTCATTCTGTTTTATCAGAGTGCATGTATGTCCTATTTCAGAAAAAGTAAAACAGTCATTTACAAAAGAAAGTCAATCTGTATCCTAAGCATTTTAATTAAAAGTTAAAGCATAAATAAATAAATAAACAATAAATCAAAAGATTTGGGATCCTTTCAATCAAATAAATAACTATTAAAGACCTCTGATATGACATAAAACCACTGAATACAGAAAGAACATTCAATCTTTATCCCCAATTAACACTGAATTCTGATGGAAGAAAAAGATTAATGTTCTTTTTTGCAAGAAAAGAGGGTACCCCTAAAAAATATCAACACTGATTTAGGCAACTGTTGCATATGAGTAGAAATGATCTATTTAGCTTGATTGATTTAATCTTTTTATACAACCACATGCATGTTGTGATCTCCTTATGAAAATTTGCATACTAAAAAAACTATTTTAAAAAAGGCTACTGTGGGCACACTGCCTATAGGATAGCCCTGCTAGGCAAGGAGCAGTTAAAAAAAGTATAAATAAATTGACACCTATTAATACTAATACTAATCATTATAATTTAAAACATTGAAACATGTTTTTGAAAAATAATCTATGGTACTGTTTGCATTTGTGAGCATTTCCACTGATTAAAAACATATGTGTACTGATATTAAAATCTAGAAATCATTAACATCAGATTCAAGGCAAGGGATCTGAGTAATGTAGGGAAATAAAATGGTAGAAAAAACAACCCTTCTAAGACTTCTTATGGGAATATAAGGACATGGTTAATATTTGGATACAAAGAAAAATTAACTATCAGATATAGACTTAAAATCAAACAGGGAACTTTATTTCATGAAAAATAACCAACCCAACATTGAGTATTGGACTTAATAAAGCGTGTTCACACATATGGTGCTAATTAATCTCCACAACGGAGCAAGATAGATAAAGAAGTTTCTGAATATTTAAGCAAGACCTAAAATGTACATGTATTAGTAATTGGGAAGTGGACTAAATCTAGATTTTCTAATATCATTCTTGTTTCTTTTCTACTATGCCAGTATTGTCCAAATTTTTTACCATTACCTATAGTAAGGAATATATTGTACATCAGAATCCAGGTCATACAAACACATATATAAAATGAGTGATGAGAATAAGTAAAATAAATCAATAAAATAGTATATAACTGCGTAATAGATTACAACTCACAGTGTGAAAAGCACTAACATACATCATACTGTATAACTGCTGATACTTTAATGACCTTATATCACTTGGCTGTGCAATGAATTATCTTGTCTTGTAAGTACTGAACGTGTTGCAAGGAACCATTTCCTTTCAGCTGTGTGCTTCCTTTTATGACAAAAGTTTTATGTTGGCGATTGTCATTCCAGGATTTGGGAAGAAGAGGTAAGGAATAGCACTATGTTGTTTCTATGCAAATCAGACTGATCCACGTGGAGCTCAGTGAGTTCTGAACTCACCTACATCAACTCACAAATTGAACCAGAACATGACCAGGGCCAACAGATTTTGGATGAAAGAAATTAACACGTGTTAGTTAGCATGGGTAGTTCTTGGGCATTCTTTAAAATTATTCATTTCTCCATCTGATTCATTTTTCTAATATAAGATTAATTATGTTTCCCATTACTTAATCATTATTCTGTAAAAGTTTGCTATATTGCATTTCTTGGGTAAGATACAGAGATTTGTTGATCTTCCTTTTAGAGGCACTAGAAAGGTAACATTTTGGCCTTTAGATAAAATTTTTCATGCTTACAAGTGTCAAATCACATCAGTTTAGTTACATCACAGAGAAAACCCCTTCATAACTCAGTTTATTTTACTTAACTGAATAAGTGGAGTATCAGAAAAATTCAATACTAAAGTAGCCTTTCCTTTCCCTCAAATCCACCAACAAGAGCAATGACAGGAATCTGGGCAATGCAATTGCTCGAAAGATCTTCATTCTCTGGGGTTTCTTTGACCACCCCTAGCCGGAAATGTTTCTCTTCATAATGGGGCTTGTTGCTTATCTCTGCATACTGGTGGACAACATCTCAATTATTGTGGTACCCAGGGGATATTTTAGGGGAGCACCAAATGCATCATTTTAGCTGTGACGTCTTTGGATCCTTACATTGCCATCTGCAAACACTTGAGGTACCCAGCTATCATGCATCAGCAACTCTGTGTCCTCCTAGTGGCCATGGCATGGCTAAGCAGTTTGGCCAACTCTACTTCAGTCATCCCTTGCCGTCCAGCTGCCACTAGGCGGTAACAAGGTGGACGACTTTCTGTGTGAGGTCTCAGCGATGATCAAGATATCATGTTTTGACACCACATTCAATGTATCTATGCTCTCCATTGTGAGGATATTTTAGTCCCTCGTTCTCTAATCAATTATCTTTGTTTACTGTGGATTCATTGTAGCTACTGTGCTGAGGATTCAGTCCTCAGGGGGAAAGAAGGAGGTCTTCAACACATGTGGTTCTCATATTGTATCTCTCCTCTATGGGCCTGTAATTAGCATGTATGTACAGCCCTCTGCCAACTCCCAGGACAAAAACAAATTCATGTCCCTGTTCTACAGTTTGGTGACTCCTATGCTTAACCCTTTTATCTACACTTTGAGCAACAGGGACATAAAAGGGGCAATGAGGAGGCTTCTTGTCTTTTTGTATCACCAGGAAGAGAACAAAAGTAATTATTTTTATACTCCACATTCTTCATATACAGGTCAGAAGATCTCCTGTTCTAAAATTACATGTTGATTTAACCTCCTCCAAAATTGTTAGCATTCTTTACTACCCACCCTGTCTACATATATGCTTTTGTACCACACAATGGGGTTTGTTGGATATCATTTCAAGTGTGAATCCTAATCCTCAGATTGTCTGCAATTTGCATGGTAGTGAGAACTATGTCCTTATATTCCTTTGTATTTATCTAGAAATATCCATAGGCATCTAAAAAGTGGGCAATAAATAAATGTTAATAGACTGACTCATTTACTCAGAGCAAAAATCAAGTCCTATCATTTTATGTGTTACTTTGAAAAATATATATGAGTAATATAGACTGCAGTTTACCTTCTTGTTATTATGAATGTGATTTAAAGGCTAATCTTTTATTTGCAAATTAACTTTTTATGGATTGCCAGCAAGATCAAATAGGTTAATATCTCATATTCCATAACTGACCCTCTCAACCACAAATTCACTGATCCTTTACAAATAAAATAATTCAAAAATAATATCTGACTCTTTCCTATCGATCTTAATGGGATTTCTTCCTTCTGAGGTATTTGACTGAAGTAATTATTTCTAGGTTATCAGATGGAGAAGTTAAAATCTTCAGAAATTTCTATGTTGTCTCTTAATATTGAGAGCCACTCACCCTTCAATGGGAAGACAACCTACCTAGAATGAGAAAATTAGATGTATTTGGTAGGTAACCGAAGGATTAAATCGTCTCATCATTTAAAATCAGAATATTCAGCAGAAGGAAAATGGAAAAAGAAGGTAGAGCACAACCTGGGGCAAATATAAAATAAACTAGCTATCAGACCGTCAATTTTGAGATAGAGGTGACAAAGTAGAAAGTTGGATAATGATGTAAGAAGGCAGTGTTCTGTTGACTTTATCCATAACATCAACTCTCCTCATTATAAATCCATAATTTTTCTTATACTTCCTCTGCTCCCCTGTCTTTCAACTTGTGTTTAAGAAAAACATTTGTTTTTCTAACAACTACATACATTCATTTGAGGCCTTCACACATCTGCCCATCCTTCATGTATTTCCACTGTGCTCTTCTGAATGACAAGAACAAAATCTATTAACACACAATGTGCAAACCGCTGATAAAGAAATATTATATATTATAGTTTTGCCATTGTTGGAGACAAGGAAACATCACTCTTTTGGAGGAAAGTTGACTCCCTGGCATACCAACATGTCTGTAAGGACTAGGCCTGATTTCACTGTGTACCTCTCCTTCATAGTACTGACCTGTATTGAGAGAATGGGCTCTAAATAAGTATTTTTTAAATAAATGAATGAATGATAAGTATTACCCACTGTCCTAATTACCTACTATTAAAACCTATATAACAGAATCATGCAAAAATGTGTCATATACTAAACAATGAGTGTAGCAAAAGAGGTTTGTAGCTGAATGTTTTTTTAAATTTTTTATCTCCATAGGTTTTTAGGTAACAGGTGGTATTTGGTTACATAAGTTCTTTAGTGGTGATTTGTGAGATTTTGGTGCACCCACCACCTGAGCAGTATACACTGAACTCAATTTGTAGTCTTTTATCCCTCCCTCCCCTCCTACCCTTTCCCCCACCCAGTCCCCAAAGTCCATTGTATCATTCTTATGCCTTTGCATCCTCATTGCTTCGCTCCCTCTTATGAGCAAGAACATACAATATTTGGTTTTCCATTCCTGAGTTACTTCATTTAGAATAATAGTCTCCAATCCCATCTAGGTTGTTGTGAATGCCATTAATTCATTCCTTTTTATGGCTGAGTAGTATTCCATTGTGTGTGTATATATATATATATATATATATATATATACACCACAGTTTCTTTATCTATTCGTTGATTGATGGGCATTTGGACTGGTTCCACATTTTTGCAATTGCAAATTGTGCTGCTATAAACATGCATGTGCAAGTATATTTTTCGTATAATGACTTCTTTTCCTCTGAGTAGATACCCAGTAAGGGGATTGCTGGATCAAATGGTAGTTCCACTTTTAGTTCTTTAAGGAATCTCAACACTGTTTTCCATAGTGGTTGTACTAGTTTACATTCCCATCGGCAGTGTAGAAGTGTTCCCTTTCACCACATCCATGCCAATATATATTTTTTAAAAATTTTTTATAATGGTCATTCTTGCAGGAGTAAGGTTGGTATCTCATGGCAGTTTTGATTTGCATTTCTCTGATCATTAGTGATGTTGAGCATTTATTCATATGTTTGCTGGCCATTTGTATATCTTCTTTTGAGAATTGTCTATTCATGTCCTTAGCCCACTTATTGATGGGATTGTTTGATTTTTTCTTGCTAATTTGTCTGAGTTCCTTGTAAATACTGGATTATTAGTCCTTTGTCAGATGTACAGATTGTATAGATTGTGAAAAATTTTCTCCCACTTTGTGAGTAATCTACTCTGCTGACTGTTCTTTTGCTGTGCCAAAGCTCTTTAGTTTCATTAAACCCCACCTATTTATCTTGGATTTTGTTGCATTTGCTTTTGGGTTCTTGGTCAGAAATCTTTGCCTGAGCCAATGTCTAGAAGGTTTTTTTCAATGTTATCTTCTAGAATTTTTATAGTTTCAGGTCTTAGGTCTTAGATTTAAGTCTTTGATCCATCTTTTTTTTTTTTTTTTTTAGACAGAGTCTTGCTCTGTCCCCCAGGCTAGAGTGCAGTGGCTCAATACCAGCTCACTGCAAGCTCTGCTGCCTGGGTTCACGCCATTCTCCTGCCTCAGCCTCCCGAGTAGCTGGGACTACAGGCGCCCGCTGCCATGCCCAGCTAATTTTTTGTATTTTTAGTAGAGACGGGGTTTCACCATGTTAGCCAGAATGGTCTTGATCTCCTGACCTCGTGATCCACCTGCCTCGGCCTCCCAAAGTGCTGGGATTACAGGCGTGAGCCACCGCACTCAGCTTTGATCCATCTTGAGTTGATTTTTGTATAAGGTGAGAGATGAGGATCCTGGTTCATTATCCTACATATGGCTTGCCAATTATCCCAGCAACATCTGTTGAATAGCGTGTCCTCTCCCCACTTTATGTTTCTGTTTGCTTTGTCAAAGATCAGTTGGTTATAAGTATTTGGTTTTATTTCTTGGTTCTCTATTCTGTTCCATGGGTCTATGTGCCTACTTTTATACCCATACCATGCTGTTTTGGTGACTATGGCCTTATAGTATAGTTTCAAATCAGGTAATGTGATGCCTCCAGATTTGTTCTTTTTGCTTAGTCTTGCTTTGGCTATGTGGGCTCTTTTTTGGTTCCACATGAATTTTAGGATTGTTTTTTCTAGTTCTATGAAGAATGATGGGGTTGGGTCATATGTTGAGTTTATTTTAAGCTTTATAAGAAACTGCCAAGTGGTTCCTCAAAGTGATTTTAACATTTTGCATTCTCATCAGTAATAAATAAGAGTTCCCCTTGTTCTGCATTTTTTTTCTAGCATTCACTATTGTCAGGGTTTTTTTTTTTTAGCCAATAGAACATTATGTGGGAATTTTTCTGTCTTGTTGCCTAATATTTAATATTTATAGTTTCATAATATTTAAATTTTATTTACTTATTTTCATAATATTTAATATTTAATTATTTCATAATATTTAAATTTTGCTTCCTGGCCTGCAAAACCTGAACTATTTTCCATCTGGCTCTTGTGGGGAAAATTAGCTGATCTCTGGTCTTTCATATGGATTTTCCTAACTCATTGAACCTCATTGAGGTTCAACTGAACTATAAGTCAATAACTATAAGCTTTTTAAATATGGGAAATAGTGAGTCTTTGATAGGAACAAGTAATTTTTTCCAATTTTTCTTTAAGAATTTTGGCCTATGTACACAAGACAGGGATGCCCTCTCTCACCACTCCTATTCAACATAGTGTTGGAAGTTCTGGCCAGGGCAATCAGGCAGGAGAAAGAAATAAAGGGTATTCAATTAGAAAAAGAGGAAGTCAAAGTGCCCCTGCTTGCAGATGACATGATTGTATATCTAGAAAACCCCATCGTCTCAGCCCAAAATCTCCTTAAGCTGATAAGCAACTTCAGCAAAGTCTCAGGATACAAAATCAATGTGCAAAAATCACAAGTATTCTTATACACCAATAACAGACAAACAGAGAGCCAAATCATGAGTGAACTCCCATTCACAATTGCTTCAAAGAGAATAAAATACCTAGGAATCCAACTTACAAGGATGTGAAGGACCTCTTCAAGGAGAACTACAGACCACTGCTCAATGAAATAAAAGAGGATACAAATGGAAGAACATTCCATGCTCATGTGTAGGGAGAATCAATATTGTGAAAATGGCCATACTGCCAAAGGTAATTTATAGATTCAGCGCCATCCCCATCAAGCTACCAATGACTTTCTTCACAGAATTGGAAAAAAGTACTTTAAAGTTCATATGGAACCAAAAAAGAGCCCACATTGCCAAGTCAATCCTAAGCCAAAAGAACAAAGCTGGAGGCATCACACTACCTGACTTCAAACTATACTACAAGGCTACAGTAACCAAAACAGCATGGTACTGGTACCAAAACAGAGATATAGACCAATGGAACAGAACAGAGCCCTCAGAAATAACGCCACATATCTACAGCTATCTAATCTTTGACAAATCTGACAAAAATAAGCAATGGGGAAAGGATTCCCTATTTAATAAATGGTGCTGGGAAAACTGGCTAGCCATATGGAGAAAGCTGAAACTGGATCCCTTCCTTACACCTTATACAAAAATTAATTCAAGATGGATTAAAGACTTCAATGTTAGACCTAAAACCAGAAAAACCCTAGAACAAAACCTAGGCAATACCATTCAGGACATAGGCATGGGCAAGGACTTCATGTCTAAAACACCAAAAGCAATGGCAACAAAAGCCAAAATTGACAAATGGGATCTAATTAAACTAAAGAGCTTCTGCACAGCAAAAGAAACTACCATCAGAGTCAATAGGCAACCTACAGAATGGGAGAAAATTTTTGCAACCTACTCATCTGACAAAGGGCTAATATCCAGAATCTACAATGAACTCAAACAAATTTACAAGAAAAAAACAAACAACCCCATCAAAAAGTGGGTGAAGGACATGAACAGACACTTCTCAAAACAAGACATTTATGCAGCCAAAAGACACATGAAAAAATGCTCATCATCACTGGCCATCAGAGAAATGCAAATCAAAACCACAGTGAGATACCATTTCACACCAGTTAGAATGACGATCATTAAAAAGTCAGGAAACAGGCCGGGCGCGGTGGCTCACGCCTGTAATCCCAGCACTTTGGGAGGCCGAGGCGGGCGGATCACGAGGTCAGGAGATCGAGACCCCGTCTCTACTAAAAATACAAAAAATTAGCCGGGCGTGGTAGCGGGCGCCTGTAGTCCCAGCTACTCGGGAGGCTGAGGCAGGAGAATGGCGTGAACCCGGGAGGTGGAGCTTGCAGTGAGCCGAGATCGCGCCACTGCACTCCAGCCTGGGCGACAGAGCGAGACTCCGTCTCAAAAAAAAAAAAAAAAAAAAGTCAGGAAACAACAGGTGCTGGAGAGGATGTGGAGAAATAGGAACACTTTTACACTGTTGGTGGGACTGTAAACTAGTTCAACCATTGTGGAAGTTGGTGTGGCGATTCCTCAGGCATCTAGAACTAGAAATACCATTTGACCCAGCTATCCCATTACTGAGTATATACCCAAAGGATTATAAATCATGCTGCTGTAAAGACACATGCACATGCATGTTTATTGCAGTACTATTCACAATAGCAAAGACTTGGAACCAACCCAAATGTCCAACAATGATAGACTGGATTAAGAAAATATGGCATATATACACCATGGAATACTATGCAGCCATAAAAAATGATGAGTTCATTTCCTTTGTAGGGACATGGATGAAGCTGGAAACCATCATTCTCAGCAAACTATCACAAGGACAAAAAACCAAACACCGCATGTTCTCACTCATAGGTGGGAATTGAACAATGAGAACACATGGTCACAGGAAGGGGAACATCACATGCCAGGGCCTGTTGTGGGGTGGGGGGAGGGGGGAGGGATAGCGTTAGGAGTTATATCTAATGTTAAATGACGAGTTACTGGGTGCAGCACACCAACATGGCACATGTATACATATGTAACAGACCTGCACGTTGTGCACATGTACTCTAAAACTTAAAGTATAATAAATAAAAAAAGAAGTTTGGCCTATGTATAACTATGATATATCAATTTTTAAATGCAAGACAAAGACAGACATTTTCTGTAGGTATCTGTTACTTAATGAGCATGGCTGATCTTTTTAGTTGCCTTTAAAATGTTCTGTATTTAATTAATTCATTCTAATATAAATATTCTGTGAATCTTTATTGTATTTTCTCAATACAATTTAGAACTTTAACTTTCTGAGGAAGGTTTTGAACCTCACTTTTCAATTGAATTTCCTGACGGTCAAATTGCTTAACCCATTCTGAATACTTTTACTGTCATTTTTACAGGCTTTAATGACAAGAGGCTTGAGGAAAGGGAGCCTGTTTTGCCCTTTACACCGGACACACAGAAGGCACCATCCATAAGAAATGAATGCTTACCAGGTAATGAAATTTGCTGGTACCTTGATCTTGAACTTCCCAGCCTCCAGAACTGTAAGCAATAAATTTATGTTGTTTACATAAAAAAGAAAATAAAAATACATGAAGAAGAATTACCCAGTGTTTCTCTCACATCCTTTACAGACTTCTAAACAATACAAACTCTTTAAATTGTAAACGAACTTGGAAAATTTTTACATCATCTTAAACAATTACGTATATCAGTTAAAAACAAATAAAGCCTTTAATAATGTGTTCAAATAATTTAATTTATATTTTGTTTCTTCCTCCATCAAAAGTCTTTACAGAAGCATAAATCAATTTCCTCAAAGCCCCTTTTGACTGATGATTGACTGGTACTTACTTTCTGATTGCTTCATTCTCCCCAATTCTAAGTCCCTGAGTCCCTGACATCAATTTAACTTCTCCAAGTGCAGTAGAAAATATTCATCAAGTGTTTCAATATTTGCTCTGACCTTACTTATAATTTAGCACTTGTTACAATAATTTACATATCTTTTCAGTTCACTGTTTGCTCAGTTGGTCATCCCATTCTTGAGCTTTTTTGCATGTAGTTTATGCTTTCCTGGACATTGCAATGCTCATTTTAGCCATATTTTGTTGCTATCTTAACTTGCTGGCTTTTTTTACTCTTCTGACATATATTTATGGTTATTTCGCATCCACTTTTTGGGATTAAAAGGACCTGAACACATCTTCTACTGGCTGAACTCCAGTTCCAAAGCTAGCCATCACCTTAACTCAATGTGAACATTAAGACTTTCTTCCTTTTGATTCTTTTCTGAAAGTATCTATTTTAAACTCAAATTTGATATAGACTTGGACCACGTGGTATCTTCTTCTCAAGGCTGCACTCCATTAAAGGTAATTTAAGTGTTCACATTATTTTTTAATCAGCCTAATTTATCAACAACTTTACATTTTTCTCCAACTAAAGCATAAATTCTATGGCAAACTCTTTCTTCCTATTTATATAAACCTGGCTTTCAACTATTAAGAAACACAAATATAGCTGCACTTACCACTATGTTCCAATGTTAAGCCACAGAGATCTGGCATGATTCTCATGTCTTCTGGCAACACTGACATGGCCTCACTTAGCTTCTCCAGGATTTGTATAAAATAAAACTTCATATCAGCAAGTGCACCCTCCATAGTACCAAATCTACCTCAGGCTTCCAGGGCACCCAATTCCATTCTGCCTGGAACCTAAATCAGCCACCTGGGAACAAAGAAAGACCATAAGTCTGGCAGCAATGGGGGAAGAGAGAGTTTTCCAAATATTTTCACATCATAGCACACATAACATGGAATGTATAAGGCTGTTCTTGATTAAAGAAGACTGGCCACTGCTAGTGTGCTCCTCCTAGGCCTCACACAACAACCCCAAAGTCTAAGAGGATTAATGTCTTTTCACATATGTAAAATTCAGAGAACACTGTTTAAGAGGCTTGACAGCTAAGAACTTACATACCATCATCAATACTCAATGTTGCCTTAATGTAAACATATTTTTCTGACATCCAGTAAACCTAATCTTTAAAAAACTAAAAACAAAGATTCTTCCTTTCAGGAAAACACTTCTGCCTTGCTTTCTTTAGATTATGAGAGTAGGCATTGGAGAATTGAATTCTCACTGTCATTCACTTATTAATCTGAATTGCAAGCATAAAAACTCATGAAAGGACCAGGCATGGTGGCTTATACCTCTAATCCCAGCACTTTGGGAAGCCAAGGCAGGAGAATTGCTTCAGCCCAGAAGTTCAAGACCAACTTGGGCTATGTAGTGAGACACCTATCCTACAGAAATTTAAAAATTAGCCAAGTGTGGTGGTGCATGCTCATAGTTCCATAGTTCCAGCTATTCAGGGGGCTGAGGCAGGATTCCCGGAGACCAGAAGGTCAAGTCTGCAGTGAGCCATGATCACACCACTGCACTCTAGTCTGGGTGACAGAGCAAGACCCTGCCAAAAAAAAAAAAAAAAACACCTCAGGAAGAATTCTGGTACTTTGAGATTGGAAAAGAATTTGAAAAACATTCAACATTTCTTCATAAGAAATGTCTCAACAAATTGGTTATAAGGAATGTATGACAACACAATAAAGACCATGTATGACAACCCCACAGCTGAGACCATCAATTTGAAAGTTTTCCCTCTCAGATCAGAAACAAAGCAAAGATGCCCACTCTCACCACTTCTATTCAACCTAGTACTGGAAGTTATAGCCATGGCAATTAGGCAAGAGAAAGAAATTAAAAGCATACAAATCGGAATGAACAAAAGAGAGAGAGAAAGAAAGAGAGAGAGAAAGGGAGGGAGGGAGGAAGGAAAGAAATGGTCTTTGTATACTGATTACCTATTGTTATATATAGAAACCCCAAATATTACACCAAAAACTGTTAAAACTAATGAACTAGTTCAGGATATAAATCAACATAAAAAAATCAGTACTGTTTTTGCAGTATTGTAAAGACTATTGACATTATGAAGAAACTGCATCAACTAACAGGCAAAATAACCAGCTAGCATCATAATGACATGATCAAATTCACACATAACAATATTAACCTTAAATATAAATGGGCTAAATGCTCCAATTAAAAGACACATACTGATAAATTGGATAAAGAGTCAAGACCCATCAGTGTGCTGTATTCAGGAGACCCATCTCATGTGCAAAGACACACACAGGCTCAAAATAAAGGGATGGAGGAATATTTACCAAGCAAATGGAAAGCCAAAAAAAAAAAAAAGCAGCAGTAGCAATCCTAGTCTCTGATAAAACAGACTTTAAATCAAAAAAGACAAAGAAGGGAATTACATAACGGTAAAGGGATCAGTGCAACGAGAAGAGCTAACTATCCTAAATATATACGCACCCAATACAAGTGCACCCAGTTTCATAAAGCAAGTTCTTAGAGACCTACAAAGAGACTCAGACTCCTGCACAATAATAGTGGGAGACTTTAACACCCCACTGTCAATATTAGACAGATCAGTGAGACAGAAAATTAATAAGGATATTCAGAACTTGAACTCAGCTCTGGACCAAGCAGACCTAATAGACATCTACAGAACTCTTCACCCCTAATCAGCAGAATATGCATTCTTCTCAGAACCACATTACACTTAATCTAAAATTGGCCACATAATTGGGAGTAAGACACTCCTCAGCAAATGCAAAAGAGAAATCATAAAAAACAGTCTCTCAGACCACAGTGCAATCAAATTAGAACTCAAGATTAAGAAACTCACTCAAAACTACACAACTACATGGAAACTGAACAACCTGCTCCTGAATGACTACTGGGTAAATAACAAAATTAAGGCAGAAATAAAGAAGTTCTTTGAAACCAATGAGAACAAAGACACAATGTACTAGAATCTCTGGGACACAGCTAGAGCAGTGTTTAGAGGAAAATTTATAGCACTGAATGCCAACATCAGAAAGAGGAAAAGATCTAAAACTGACACCTTAACATCACAATTAGAAGAACTAGAGAAGCAAGAGCAAACAAATTCAAAAGCTAGCAGAAGACAAGAAATAACTAAAATCAGAGCAAAATTGAAGGAGATACAGACACAAAAAACCCTTCAAAAAGTCAATGAATCCATGAAATGCTTTATGAAAAGGGAGAAAAGAGAGAAGAATCAGACACAACAAAAAACGATAAAGAGATATCACCACTGATCTCACAGAAATACAAACTACCATCAGAGAATATTATAAACACCACTACGCAAATAAACCAGAAAATCTAGAAGAAATTGATAAACTTCTGGACACATACACCCTCCCAAGACTAAACCAGGAAGAAGTTGAATCTCTGAATAGACCAATAACAGGCTCTGAAATTGAGGCAATAATTAGCAGCTTACCAACCAAAAAAATTCCAGGACCACACAGATTCACAGCCAAATTCTACCAGAGGTACTAAGATGACCTGGTATCATTCCTTCTGAAACTATTCCAAACTATAGAAAAAGAGGGACTCCTCCCTAACTCATTTTATGAAGTCAGCATCATCTTGATACCAAAACAGGGCAGAGACACAACAACAACAAAAAAGAAAATTTCAGGCCAATATCCCTGATGGACATTGATGTGAAAATCTTCAATAAAATACTAGCAAACAATTCAACAGCACATCAAAAAGCTTATTCACCATGAGCTAGTCAGCTTCATCCCTGGGATGTAAGGCTGGTTCAACATACACAAATCAATAAACGTAATCCATCAGATAAACAGAACCAACGACAAAAACCACATGATTATCTCAATAAATGCAGAAAAGGCCTTCAATAAAATTGAACACCCCTTCATGCTACAAACACTCAATAAACTAGGTATTGATGGAACATATTTCAAAATAATAAGAGCTGTTTATGACAAACCCACAGCCAGTATCATTCTGAATAGGCAAGAGCTGGAAGCATTTTCTTGGAAAACCAGGACAAGACAAAGATGCCCTTTCTCACCACGCCCACTCAACATAGTATTGGAAGTTCTGGCCAGGACAATCAAGCAAGAGAAAGAAATAAGGGGTATTCAGATAGGAAGAAAGGATGTCAAATTGTCTCTGTTTGCAGGTGACATGATTACATATTTAGAAAACCCCATCGTCTCAGCCCAAAATCTCCTTAAGCTGATAAGCAACTTCAGCAAACTCTCAGGATACAAAATCAACATGCAAAAATCACAAGCATTCTTATACACCAGTAATAGACAAACAAATAGCCAAATCATGAGTGAACTCTCATTCACAATTGCTACAAAGAGAATAAAATACCTAGGAGTACAATTTACAAGGGATGTGAAGGACCTCTTCAAGGAGAACTACAAACCACTGCTCAAGGAAATGAGAGAAGACACAAACAAATGGAAAAACATTCCATGTTCATGGATAGGAAGAATCAATATCGTGAAAATGGCCATACTGCCCAAAGGAATTTATAGATTCAATGCTATCCCAATCAAGCTACCATTAACTTTCTTCGCAGAATTAGAAAAACTACTTTAAATTTCACATGGCACCAAAAAAGAGCCTGTATAGCCAACACAATTCTAAGCAAAAAGAACAAAGCTGGAGGCATCACGCTATCTGACTTCAAACTATACTACAAGGCTACAGTAACCAAAACAGCATGGTACTGGTACCAAAACAAATATATAGAGCAATGGAACAGAAGAGAGGCCTCAGAAATAACACCACACATCTGCAACCATCTGATTTTGACAAACCTCACAAAAACAAGCAATGGGGAAAGGATTCCCTATTCAATAAATGGTGTTGGGAAAACTGGCTAGCCATATGCAGAAAACAGAAACTGGACCCTTCCTTACGCCTTATACAAAAATTATCTCAAGATGGATTAAAGACTTAAATGTAAGACCTAAAACCATAAAAATCCTACAAGAAAACTGGGAAATACCATTCAGGACATAGGCATGGGCAAAGACTTCATGTGTAAAACACCAAAAGCAAAGGCAACAAAAGCCAAAATCAACAAATGGGATCTAATTAAACTAAAGAACATCTGCATAGCAAAAGAAACTATCATCAGAATGAACAAGCAACCTAAAGAATGGGAGAAAATTTTTGCAATCTATCCATCTGACAAAGGGCTAATATCCAGAATCTACAAGTATCTTAAATTTACAAGAAAAAAACCAAACAACCCTATCAAAAAGTGGGCAAAGGATATAAACAGACACTTCTCAAAAGAAGACATTTATGTGCCCAACAAACATATGAAAAAAAGTTCATTATCACTGGTCATTAGAGAAATGCAAATCAAAACCATAATGAGATACCATCTCACACCAGTTAGAATGGTGATCATTAAAAAGTCAGGAAACAACAGATGCTGGAGAAGATGTGGAGAAATAGGAACACTTTTACGATGTTGGTGGGAGTGTAAATTAGTTCAACCATTGTAGAAGACAGTGTGGCGATTCCTCAAGGATCTAGAACCAGAAATACCATTTGACCCAGCAATCCCATTACTGGGTATATACCTAAAGGATTATAAATCATGCTATCCCATTACTGGGTATATACCCAAAGGATTATAAATCATGCTACTATAAAGACACATGCACACGTTTGTCTATTGCAGCACTGTTCACAATAGCAAAGACTTGGAACCAACCCAAATGCCCAACAATGATAAACTGGATAAAGAAAATGTGGTACATAAGCACCATGGAATACTATGCACCCATAAAAAATGATGAGTTCATGTCCTTTGCAGGGACATGGATGAAGCTGGAAACCATCATTCTCAGCAAACTAACGCAGGAACGGAAAATCAAACACCGCATGTTCTCACTTATAAGTTGGAGTTGAATAATGAGAACACATGGACACAGGGAGGAGAACATCACACACTGGGGCTTGTCAGTGGGTGGGAGGCTAGGAGAGGGCTAGCATTAGGAGAGACACCTAATGTAGATGATGGGTTGATCAGTGCAACAAACCACCAAGGCACATTTATACCTGTGTAACAAACCTGCATGTTCTGCACGTGTATCCTAGAACTTAATTTATATTTTTTTAAAAAAGTAGTGTTACACTAACAACAAACTATTTTTAAAAGAATCAATAAAACAATCCTATTTTCAAAACATGAAAATGCTCAGGCATAAATTAAACCAAAGAGGTGAAAGATATGTATAGTGAAATCTGTAAGGCATTGGTAAAAGAAATTGAAGACGATAAATGAAAAAATTCCTTGTTCATGGATTGGAAGAACTAAAACTGCTAAAATGTTCATACTACCCAAAATAATCAATAAATTCAATACAGTTCTTATCAAAATTCCAATGACATTTTTCGTAGAAATAGAGAAACAATCTTAAAATTTATGTGGAATCACAAAAGACTCTAAACAGACAAAGCAATCTTGAGCAAGAAGAACAAAGCTGAAGGCATTATAGTACTTAATTTGAAAATATACTACAAAGCTATGGTAATAAAAACAGTATGGTACTGGCATAAAAAGAGACACATAGACCAATACAATAGAATAAGGAACCTAGAAATAAATCCAAGTATTTACAGCCAACTGATTTTCAACAAAAGTGCCAAAAACACATAATGAGAAAAGAACAGTCTCTTTAATGAATGGTGTTTGGAAAACTGGATGTCCACCTGCAGAAGAATGAAATTAGACCCTCATCTCACACCACCTACGAAACTCAACTCAAAATTAACTAAAAGGTTAGACATAATGCCATAAACTTTAAAACTACAAGAAGAAAACATAGGGGAAAACCTCCATGACATTGGCCTGAGCAATGGTTTTTTTAGGTGATCCTCAAAGCACACGCAACAAAAATAAAGATAGACAAATAGAATTACATCAAACTAAAAAGCTTCTGCACAGAAAAGGAAACAATCAACAGAGTGAATAGACAACCCAAAGAAATATTAGTAGAAAATATTTGCAAACCATACATCTGATGTGTTTAATATGCAAAATAAATAAGGAACTCAAACAACTCAGTAGTAAGAAAACTAACAGCCCAATGAAAAATTGGACAAATGATTGAATAGACATTTCTCAAAGACATGGCCAGGTATATAAAAAATGCTCAACATCACCAATCATTAGAAAAATGCAAATTAAAACCACAGTGAGATCACCTCACACATGTTAGAATGGCTATTATCAAAAAAAATAAAAGATAATGTTGGAGAGGATGCAGAGAAAGAAAACCCTTGCACTCTATTGGTGGAAATATAAATTAGTATAGCCTTTATGGAAAATAGTAAGGGGGTTCCTCAAAAAATTAAAAATAGAAATATCATATGATCCAGGAATCCCAGTTCTGGATATATACCCAAAGAAAGCCTTATTTGAAAAGATATCTCACTCCCATGTTCATTGCAGCATTATACACAATAGCAAAAATATACACAATAGCAAAAATATACACAATAGCAAAAATCAACCTAAGTGTCCATCAACAAAAAATGGATAAAGAAGATGTGGTTTATATACACTATAGAATACTATTCAGTAATTTTAAAAAAGAAAGAAAGCTTGCCATTAATTATAACATGTATTTCCTGGAGGACATTAAGTGAAATAAGTGAGACACAGAGAAACAAATGGAATCTAAAACAGTTAAACTGACAGAAACGGAGTAAGATGGTGCTTACCAGAGGCTGTGGGGTGGGGAATACAGACAGATCTTAGTGAAAGGATACAAAATTTCAGTTAGGAGGAATAAATTCAAGTGATCTATTGTACATCATGATGGCCATACTTAATAACAATATATTGTATTCTTAAAAATTGCCAAAATATTATATTTTAAATATTCTCATCACAAAAAAGGAGGTAATAAATATGTTAAATAGCTTAACTTAGCCATTCCACAATGTATTCATATATCAAAACACCATGATTGTATACTGTAAAGAAATACAATTTTTATTTGTCAATGGAAAAAATAATTGTTTCTTTTTTTTTTATTATACTTTAAGTTTTAGGGTACATGTGCACATTGTGCAGGTTAGTTACATATGTATACATGTGCCATAAAATAATTGTGTTTCTGTACAGTAACACTGAATTATCTGGAAAAACAAATGCCATTTACAGTATCATCAAAATGAATAAAATATTTAGAAATAAATTTAACCCTGGAAGTGATTAATCTTTACACTTAAAACTATAAAATATTGATGAAATAAATTGAAGAAAATACAAATAAATGTTTAAAATATTTCATGCTCATGGAATAGAAGAATTAATACTACTAAAATGTCCATAATACCCAAAGTAATTGACAGATTCAATGCAATTCTTATCAAAACTCTAATGATATTTTTCACAGCATTGGAGGAAAAATTCTAAAATATGTATGGAACCACAAAAAAACATAAATAGCCAAAACAACTTGAACAACAACAACAGAAAAGCTGAGGCATCACATTTCCTGACTTGAAACCATATTACAGAACCATAAGAATCAAAACTGTATGATACTGGCATAAAAGCAGACACACAAACCAATGGAACAGAATCAAGTCCCCAAAAATAAATCCTCACATATATGGTCAACTAACTAATATTTGACAAATGTGTCAAGAATATACAGGAGAAAGGATACTTGATTCAATAAATGGTGCTGGGAAAACTTAGTATCTATATGCAAAATAATAAAATTGAACCATTATCTTACGTAACTCACAAATCTGATAAGGAGTTAATATCCAAAAAATACAAGGAATTCAAACAACTCCATAGCAAAAATAATACAATAAATTGATTTTTAAACGGCCAAAGGACCTGAGCTGACATTTCTCAATAGAAGACATACATATGGCCAACAGATACGTGAAATAATGATAATGCTCAACAGCACTATTCATGAGAGAAATGAAAATTAAAACCCCAATGAGATCAGCCAACATGTTAGGATGGCTATTATCGAGACGAGATAACAAGTATTGGCAAGGATTCAGAAAGAAAGGGAATCCTTATGCACTACTGGTGGGAATGTAAATTGGAACAGCCATTTTAGAAAACAGTATGGAGGTTCCTCAAAAATCAAAACTAGAGCTACCATCTTATCCAGCAATCCCACTGCTGGGTATATACCCAAAGGAAACGAAAATAGTATGTCAAAGAGATATATGCACTCTTGTGTTCAATGTAGCATCATTCACATTAGCCAACACTTGGAAACAAACCAAGCATCCATCAAAAAGAAGGAAATTCTGCCACTTGCAACAACATGGATCAACCTTGTTGGCATTATGCTTAGTAAAATACATGAATCAGAGAAAGACAAATACGATATGAACTCACTTATACATGAAATCTTAAAAAGCTGAATTCACAGAAACAGAGAATAGAATTAGAATGGTGGTTTCCAAAAGCTGGGGGAGGGGAAAATAGGGAGATGTTGGTCAGAAGGTACAAGCTTTCAGTTATAAGGCGAACAAGTTCTGGGGATTTAATATGCAGCATGGTGAATATAGTTAACAATACAGTATTTAATATTTGAAATTTGTTAAGAGAGTACATCTTAAATATTCTCACCACAAAACAAGAAAAAATATGTCAACTGATGGATAGGTTAATTAGCTGGTTTGTGGTAATCACTTCACAATATATACATATGTCAAAACATCATACACATAGTAAGTGTATGCAATTTTTACTTGTTAATTATACCTTCACAAAGCTGCAGTGAAAAGAACAGAGGTAAAACTATATTATTTTCATAAATTGCATAAGTGTATATTTTATGATTACTATGAAAAAGGGGTTTTTTAAATTTCTATTTTTAGTTTAGATTCAGGGGGATACATGGGCAGGTTTATTACAAGGGTATATTGTGTGATGCTGAGGTTTGGGCTTATATTAATCCTGTCACCCAGACAGTGAATATAGTATACAATAGGAAATTTTTCAGTCCTTGCTCCTCTCCTCCTCTCCTTCCTTTTGGAATCCCTAGTGTCTACTGTTTCCATCTTTATGTCTGTATGTACCCAGGATTTATCTCCTTAAATTTTAAATCAAGTGAGAAGATGTGGTGTTCGGTTTTCTATTTCTGCATTAATTTGCTAAGGATAATGGCCTCCAGCTGCATCCATATTGCTTCAAAGGACATTATTTCGTTCTCTTTTATGGCTGTGTAGCATTCCATGCTGTATATGTACCACATTTTCTTTATCCAATCCACCATTAATGGGCACCTAGCTTGATTCCATGTCTTTGCAATTGTGAATAGTGCTGCAATGAACATGTGAATGCATGTGTCTTTTGGGTAGAACAATTTATTTGGGTGGGAGGCACATACCCAGTGATGGAATTGCTAGGTTGAATGGTAATTCTATTTTCAGTTCTTTGAGAAATTCCCAAACTACTTTCCATAGTGGCTGAACTAATCTACATTCCCACCAGCAGTATAAAAGTGTTCCATTTTCTCTGCAGCCTCATCAATATCTGTCATTATTTTACTTTTTAGTAATAGCCATTCAGACTAGTGCAAGATGGTATCTCATTGCGGTTTTGAGTGGCATTTCTCTAATGATTAGTGTTCGAGCATTTTTTATATGTTTGTTAGCTGCTTTTATGTCTTCTTTTGAGAATTGTCCATTCATGTTCTTTGCCCATTCTTTAATGGGGTTATTTGTTTTTCTCTTGTTGATTTGTTTAGGTTCCTTATAGATTCTGGATATTAGTCCTTTGTCAGATGCATAGTTTGCAAATATTTTCTCCCATTCTGTAAGATGTCTGTTTATTCTGTTGATAGGTACTTTTGCTGTGCAGAAGCTCTTTGGTTTAATTAGGTCCCATTTGTCAATTTTTTGTGTGTTGCAATTGCTTTTGAGGACTTGGTCATAAGTTCTTTGCCAAGGCCAATGTCCAAAAAGGTATTTCTGAGTTTTCCCCAGGATTTTTATAGTTTGGGGCTTTACATTTAAGTCTTTAATCTTTCTTGAATTAATTTTTGTATATGGTGCTTGGTAAGGGTTAAGTTTCATCCTTCTGAATATAGTTAGCCAGTTTTCCTAGGACCATTTATGGAATAGGGAGTCCTTTCTGCATTACTTATTTTTGTCGACTTTGTTCAAGATCAGTTGGTTGTAGGTATGCTGCTTTATTTCTGGGTTCTTTATTCTGTTCCATTGGTCTAGGTGCCTATTTTTGTGCCAGTACCTTGCTGTTTTGATTACTGTAGACTTGTAGCATAGTTTGAAGTCCAGTAATGTGATGCTTCCAGTTTTGCTCTTTTTGCTTAGGATTGTTATGGCTATTTGGGCTCTTTTTTGGTTCCGTGTAATTTTAGAATCATTTTTTCTAGTTCTGTGTAAAATGACGTTGGTAATTTAATAGGAATAGTGTTGAATCTGTAGATTGCTTTAGGCGGTAAAATTTAGACATTTTGTTTATGTTGTTGATTCTTCCAATCCATAAGCATGGAAGGTTTTTCCATTTGTTTGTGTCATCTATGATTTCTTTCAGCAGTGCTTTGTAGTTCTTTTTGTGGAAATCTTTCACTTCCTTGGTTAGAAGTATTCCTAGATTTTGTGTGTGTGTGTGTGTGTGTGTGTGTGTGTGTGTGTGTGTGTGTGTGTATTTTAAAGGGAATTACATTCTTGATTTGGCTCTCAGCTTGAACATTATTGGTGTATAGAAATGCTATTGATTTTTTACATTGATTTTGTATCTTCAAACTTGACTTAAGTTGTTTTATCAGGTCTAGAAGCCTTTTGGCAGAGTCTTTGGGGTTTTCTAGTCATAGAATCATAGCATAATTTGACTCCTCTTTTCCTATCTGGATGCTTTTTATTTCTCTCTCTTGCCTGATTTATTTGGCTAGGATTTTCAGTACTACGTTGAATAAGAGTAGTGTCAGAATTCTTGTCTTATTCCAGTTCTTAAAGGGAATGCTTCCAGCTTTTACCTATTTGGTATGATGTTGGCTGTGGGACTGAAATAAATGGCTTTTATTATTTTGAAGTATGTTCTTTGGATACCTAGTTTATTGAGGGTTTTAACATGAAGAGGTGTTGGATTTTATCAGAAGATTTTTCTGCAACTATTGAGAGAATCATATACGGTTTGGGGAAAATAAGGCTTAAAATATTTGATTTCATAAGTTCACGAGAAGGTAAATAGGTAGATTGTTTTGGTTTTGTATTTTTCCCCAAAATATACCAAAAATATTTTCCGATATTTCAAAAAATATCATTTACAATATTTCAGATATTTTGGTAAAATATATGGTCCACCAAAAAAAAAAAATCAAACAGAGCCAAGTTTTGTGGCACACACCATTAATCCCAGTGACTGGAAAGACTGAAATGGGAGGATTGCTTGAGCCCAAGAGTTTGAGGCCAAAATGAGCCATGATCACACCACTATACTTCAGCCTGGGTGACAGAGTGAGACCCAAAAGCCAAAAGCCAAAAGCCAAAAAAAAAAGAGTCAAAAAATAGAAATGTAAAGGATAACATAAAAGCAGTCTCAGAAATCTCTTTCTTCTGGGAACATACTCTTTATCCAGGCTATTTGATGATCAATATCATTAAACACGGATCTCCATCACCACATAAATGAGTTAGCATTATATTTCTTGAATATATCACCCTAGATAACCTTGACTGAATGGGATATTTAATATACACATCAGATATTGTTCTAACTGCTTTATAGTCAACAAACAATTATTGATCCCTGTTACATGCTAGACTCCCTTCCAGGCACCAAACAGCCACTGGAAGCTAATATAGCATCATCAAGGAATGCTGAGTGCAGCATTATCACAGGGCTATCAGGTCCTGACCAATTAGTCTACGGAAATATTGGAAGACAATGTCCGTAAAATTGCATAGTAAGAAATCAACATCTACACGGAACACTATTCCTAAAGAGAGAATGTTTCTATTTGGTGGGATGTTATATAAAAAAAGAAAGAAAAAAAAAGCAATGAACAAATAAAACACTATATATAATTTGGCTGATGAGCTTGTTTTCACAAATAAAAGTAAGCTCCATTAAGTCAGGGACTTTACTGTTTTGTCTATTTAGTTGTTTGCTATATTTCTATTGCTAATCAAATTTGTTGAATTGATTCATTCAGTTACGTGGCAAAAAAGGGGGATCAGATCCATATTCGTTTGGATCTTAGGTTTTAATTGTGGGGAGATACATTTAAAAAAAACAAAATTTAGAGTGATAAGTGCTACGAAAAACACATGGAAATGTGATAGAGATTAGCTGGGGAGGAGGGATTTTAATTTAGATTAAGTAGTCAAGGAAGATCTCGTTGAATAGATTATATCTGAAAAACGATTACAAACAAGGAGTTCAATTTGGGGACAGAATCTGCCAGGCCAATGAAATTCAATGCAAAGACACTTTAACACCTGCAACCCTGGAATGACAAAGGCATGAGACGAATGGGAGAAGGAGGGAGGGATGAAAAGGAGCCAGGCAAGGTGCATCTGGTAGTTCTTGGTAAGGAGTCTGAATTTTATAGTTAAGTGCATAGGAAGTCTAAAAAGATTTCAAATTGGCAAATGGAAATACTTGATTTGTGGTTTTGGTTTTCTTGGGTTTTGTTTTTTGTTTTTTCGAGACACAGTCTCGCTCTGTCGCCCAGGCTGGAGTGCAATGGTGCGATCTCGGCTCACAGCAACCTCTGTCTCCCGGGTTCAAGCGATTCTCCTGTCTCAGCCTCCAGAGTAGCTGGGATTCCAGGCATGCGCCACCATACCCGGCTAATTTTGTATTGTTGTATTGTTGATTTTGTATTGTTAGACGGGGTTTCTCCATGTTTATCAGGCTGGTCTCGAACTCCTGACCTCAGGTGATCTGCCCGCCTCGGCCTCCCAAAGTGCTGGGATTACAGGCGTGAGCCACCGCGCCCAGCCAACGTGTGGTTTTTTTAAAGAACGCTTTTGGCCGCCATATGGAGAATAGATTGAGAGGGGAATGAATTAAAGCAGAGAAACAAGATAGTAATCCATTGGGTAATCCAGGAAAAATAGGGTGGCCCAGTTTGTTAGTCATTCTGGAAATGGAGAGAAGTCGAGCTTGGAATCATTCAGATTTTCAAGATGAGGGCAGGCTAGTAATTAAGGATAACTCCTTAATTACTGGTTTCTGGCCAGAAATAGGTACATGTTTATATCATTTACTACAATGAGGAAGACTGGAATGAGAGCAGATTCAGTGCAATCAAGAGATCTATTTTAGCTATGTTTAGACTCATAATTTTGTGCATGAAATTAGGCAGTTGGAACTACCTATTCCATGCTCAATGTAGAAGACTGGAAATAGACACTTGAAAGCCATCAATATGTAGATGGGATTCAAATCCTTAAAACTCTAAGATTCTATCTAGGGACACAGTATAAACAGAAAAGAATTGAGCCTTTGGCAAGGGCATAGGAATCTCAGGACACTGTATTTCTAAAATTTCTACATATGCCAGCCAATACAGTTACTCTGATATGCGGCCAGTTGTGGAAGCACTGCTAATAACTTCACTTTAAATGGTTTCCATAAGTTAAGGGCTAAAGTAAGCAAGGGAAAAAATTGTTAAATAAAAAGGAAACAGGAAAACATGTCTTGATTTATTCAAAGGGGTATGGAAAGGTCTTATATTAAAGTTTAAGGCAAGGGCATCTGCTTTACAAGCTGGGTATATCCATTTTTTGATAACAAATGAAAACCTTTTTAAAAATTAATTCAAAAATCCAAAGGATTTCTCTATAATTTCTCCAGAGTAACAAACCCATGGATTTTAATCACAGAATAAGGAGCAAGGGACTAGAAAAGTCACTGTGTAGGAATGTATTTAAACCAGAAACATGGGTGGGCATGACAATTTATATACATTTTTGTTTTTCAAATGAAAATTGAATATTTGCTATGGTTGAATTGAAATTGTGAAATTCAATTATAACTTTAAAGTGGTTTTTAAAAGAAAAAGGAGAACTGTAGAAAATTTGACTAAAGGGGAAGAGAAAAATACATAAGTGAAACTGAGATCTCCAGTCAAAGTGAACAGATCAAGTATTCAGATGTTTAGAATCTTGATAGACAAAAATGTACCATTAGATGTTATGTTTCTTTTTATCATCATTATTATAGCATTTATAAAGAATACATACACATACATATGTATATACTATGTATATAGTATATATATTTCATATATGTGTGTATTATATATAAAATCCTAAAGGAAGTGCTTATAAGGAGAGTATTTTCCAGATGTTTTATCAAATGTCAGCATAAACTTTCCCCAAATATTTCTGCAGCACACAGACACCCTGAACTGATTGAAATTGTAATAGTTAATACTTATTTGGATGCTGTGTGCCAACCAGTACTGTAGTATTTACATATGTTAAACTTATTGAATCCTTACATTCGCCCTTTAAATTATGTATTATAATATCCCCTATTATAGATAAGAAATCGGAGGCAATGAAGGTTAAGTAATTTTCCCAAGTTCACACATCTGGTAACTGTAGCCACCAGGATTTCAGCCCAGAAAGTCTGGCTCCACAATCTATCCATCTAACCATTACACTATACTATATCTCAAGTGTAAAATATATTGATTATCGTACAGAAGCAGATAGTTAAAATTATTTTATTGATCAGTAATGTCATCCACATTTGAACATGTATCATGAGGCAGCCAATTCGTGCTTATGTATTTTATTAAAACCAATTATTACTGATATGTAATTTTAATTTAAGGAAGCTGTTAAAACCTATGATTATAAGCCAACTCACAAAAATTTTCATAGTATATACTTACTCTAGAATTTAATGTGTAAATAGTGACCTCTGAGACAACAACAAAACTAATTGTCGTAGACAATGAAGTATTTGAATCATCCCTCATGGTCACCAAAACAACTGAGAAAAAATGTAAATCTTATGATTCTGGTCTTACTGTTTAGAGCTTTGGGGATTAAACATCTCTTTCAAATACAACTGTTCTGACCATGGGTATCAGAGATAACCACTAGAGGTACCTCATTTAAATGATATCTGCTCAGAGCAAGTTTAGTTCCACAATCAATATTTGTGCTTTGAATGGTAAGATTTTTCTGTAGCTAAGTATAATTGTAGTGTTGGAAATCTACATTATTTAAGAGTAAATTTTATATTATAATACATTCACAACCAAAAAAATATGAAAATACATTTTCTTATTTCTTTGTCCTATAGTTTTCCTTCATATTAAATAACTTTTACATCTACTAAACCTGCCCTAGTGAAATATTAGGGTATGGTCTAATTCTAGGCTGGCATTTTCTATGACACTGTACTCTAGTAAAGTTAATTGGATGCAGTCCCAATGGTTTAGATAATCTTTTTGATTATCTGAGTCTTCAGGTAATACTGGGAAATTTTGTTCAATTCTGATTCTGAATTATCCGGTTGCTTTTCCTAATGTTTCTCTATGGTCAAGACCTACTTGCAGGTTGATTTAAACTCAGAACAAGAAGTAAGAATTTGTGACAGGTTTCATCCTCTTACTTGAAGTCATATATTCGAGAAGGAGGAGTCCTGTTGAGAATCTCTACCCTAACACACTTTGGGAAAAGCAGAATTCTCCGTGGCACTGCAGGGAAATCATGAGAAATTTACAGCCCTGGAGAAAAAAATGCTTAACCGGGATCTATTTTCCATAGTGTGGATTCTACAAAAGTCGAGAAGTAGAATGGCAAAGGAACTCCCTCTGGATCACAGTAATGTTCATCCTTAATCTCTTGGAGAAACAGTATGCCTGGATTGGTAAAACAATTTGTAGAAAGTAGAAGAAAAAGAACTTAGATCTGTATGGGCTGGTTTTATTTCAGAAGTCTGAGAATAAATATTGATCCAGCAGAAACAAAAGCGAGAAAGATAGATTAAATTGAAAATGAAGAATTCAGATACTTGTTTTTAATTTTGTTTTGTTTTGTTTTTTAATGCCATTTGTGAAACTTGTCAGCAAAATATTTTATTCTTGAAGGTTGTGGAGCCATAAAGGACTCAGATTTTATGTATCCATTTCTAAATCTCATACTGTGCATGAAAATTTATTTGAAGATTTTTCTATGTCACTTTTTAATAGGCAGAAGGAGGATTTTTATTCTTTCCTGAGTTAATCTTTATGGACTGTAGTAATAATGAAATAGTTAAGAAATTAACAGCATAATATTGATTTTAATTTTAAAAGAATTTTCAGGTTTTTATATAATTTTAACTGAAGCCCTATTTTATTCAGAAGTTAGGCACAATTATACACATCAACGAGTCTGTTAAAATAAATAAGCATTAATTATTGATGCCCCTGCTCAGACATTATGGAACTTTAATGGGGTGTGACAGCTTGAAATATCTTTCAGAGAATTATTTTTCTTTCTATCCAATTTGATTAATGGCAAAACTCAGAATCAAATCATAATTTTTGAAAAGCTAATGCTAAAGAAATCACAAAATGATTTTCTCAAAACGGCTATTTCAACCACCATCTCCGGTTAGTCTCACAAATGTATCCACTTTTGAATCATGGCCACAGTTGGAAGTAATTTCTTAATAACATTCAAAAAAACATATTTGAAATGGCATAACAAACAAAAAAAGCACAACTTTTTGTACTACATCTATATAAAGAGAGAGAAGAAGCACCAGTTTGATATTTATCTGGGTTTTGTTTGTTTTTGAGACAGGATCTTGCTCCAGCACCCAGGGTGGAGTGCAGTGGTGCAATCATAGCTCACCGCAACCTCAAACTCCTGGGCTCAAGTGATCCTCCCGCCTCAGCCTCCTGAGTAGCTGGGACTATAGGAGTACGCCACCACACCTGGCTAATGGCTGTTATTTTTTAACCAAATGTTTTATATTAGCTTTTTGACCACTTTATTGAAGTATGACTGACATACAAAAGCAGTACAGATTTAATGTATACAACTTGATGAGTTTGAAGGTGAGTATATACCTGTGAAACCATCAACACAATCTATCCCATATATACATCCATCACCTCCAACAGTTTCCTCCCACCTTCTTTATTGTGTTGTGTATGTGTGTGCGTGTGATGAGAACACTTAACATAAGATCTACCCTCCTAGCAAAATTTTAAGTATACAATATAGTATTTCTTAAATGTAGTGTAAAGTGGCTGACAAGTTTTAAGGAGATGGATGACATGATTTCATCAAATGTTGTAACAATGTAAAGGCATAAGACTGGATGCAAGGACTGGATGCAAGACTATTGCCAGAATCCAGAAAAGAAATCATAGTGATTTGAATTAGGGTTGTGGTGGTAGGGATTTTTTAAAGTGATAGGATAATTAGCATATATATTTGCATCCAAATTTACCAGTTTTGGTGATAAGGCGTTAAGAATGAGAGAGACAAAGCGTCCAAGGGTAAACACCAGATGTCCTACATAACAAACTAGGAGATCAAAGGTGCTTAGTCACTAAGATATGAAAAAAGAACAATCTTTCCTCACTCTTTTTTAAGGTTTATTTTTAATTAAGCAACAATTGTATATGTTTATGGGGTGCAATATAATGTTTTAATATATGTTTATAATGTGTAATGATTAAATCAGGCTAATTAACAAACCCATCACCTAACATACTTATTTTTTGTGGTGAAAACACTTAAAATCTACTCTTAGTAATTTTGAAATAAACAATGCATTATTGTTTATTGTAGTCACCATTCTGTGAGATCACTAAAACTGGTTCCTTTTTTCTAACTGAAACTTAGTACCCTTGATCAACATCTCCCCTTTTCCCATCCATCTCCTGCCCCCACTCTCTACCTCTATGAGTTCAACTTTTTTGGATTCCATATATAAATGAAATCATGCAATATTTGTCTTTCAGCTTACTTCAGTTAGCATGATGTCCCCAGGTTCATCCTCCAGGTTATCACATCTTTTCCTCATCCTACCATTAGCCCAGTACTTAAATTTTATAGGTGAATTTACTGATCAAATAAAAGAATATGTTCATTTTATCAAGCTAACTAGCTTATAAAGAATCATAGGGTCATTTTAGAACCAGCATCTATTTCAAACTTTCAAATCTACACGTTAGATAATTCAGACCTCAAGTTTAAAAGTGAACTCCCCAAGGTCACCTGGATTTTTTTTAAAAAATCTAATATTAAACTCATTGCCATAAAAGAATCTATGACAAATAGCAGATTTCTTGGCTGTAATTTTTACTTTTATCCATTAAATTTTTTCAATTAGTAACATAAATTATCTTTGTTTAGTTCTAATTTTATCAAATTATTTAGATAGTTCATGTTGACAAACTGTTTCTTCCTCTTTTCCTTTTCTTCTTCCTCTCCCTCCTCCTTCTCCTCCTCTACCTCTTCTTCCTTCTTCTTCCTTCTCCTTATCCTTGTATCATCATCTACCTCCTCCTCCTCCTTTTCTCACTCTAGGATTTAGACATTGAAGGACTATGGACCAAAGCAATTATAGTTCTTTACATGGTTTTATTCTGCTTGGCTTCTCTAACCATCCAAAAATGGAGATGATCCTGTCAGGAGTTGTCGCCATCTTCTACTTAATTACATTGGTGGGTAACACAGCCATCATTCTTGCATCTCTCCTGGATTCCCAGCTTCATACACCAATGTACTTTTTCCTCAGAAATTTATCTTTCCTAGATCTATGTTTCACAACCAGCATCATCCCTCAGATGCTGGTCAACTTGTGGGGACCTGATAAGACCATCAGCTATGTGGGTTGTATCATCCAACTCTATGTTTACATGTGGTTGGGCTCAGTTGAGTGCCTTCTCCTGGCTGTTATGTCCTATGATCGTTTTACAGCTATATGTAAGCCCTTGCATTATTTTGTAGTCATGAACCCACATCTATGTCTAAAGATGATTATCATGATCTGGAGTATTAGTTTGGCCAATTCTGTAGTATTATGTACACTCACTCTGAATTTGCCCACATGTGGAAACAACATTCTGGATCATTTCTTGTGTGAGTTGCCAGCTCTGGTCAAGATAGCTTGTGTAGACACCACAACAGTTGAAATGTCTGTTTTCGCTTTAGGCATTATAATTGTCCTCACACCTCTCATCCTTATTCTTATATCCTATGGCTACATTGCCAAAGCTGTGCTGAGAACGAAGTCAAAAGCAAGCCAGCGAAAAGCAATGAATACCTGTGGATCTCATCTTACTGTAGTGTCTATGTTCTATGGAACTATTATCTACATGTACCTGCAACCAGGTAACAGGGCTTCCAAAGACCAGGGCAAGTTCCTCACCCTCTTTTACACCGTCATCACTCCAAGTCTCAACCCGCTCATTTACACCTTAAGAAATAAGGACATGAAGGATGCCCTGAAGAAACTGATGAGATTTCACCACAAATCTACAAAAATAAAGAGGAATTGCAAGTCATAGATAAAGACTAGAGTGAATAAGGCAATTAAATATGTTTTCTAATTTTCTTTAATTTTTACAAACGCAAGTAATTCCTAGGTCATGGAGATCCATAAATATAATTATTATATACAAACATTTTGTAGATGCAAACAAAATTACAACCATTCTACTTAGCTCCTTTATGTCCCTGATCATTGGTATATCATCAGAGAAAACAGATCATTAGAAATTTTATTTTTGCTTGAAATAAAACACAAATGGGATGTAAACATAAATTTGAATGCATTTAATTTATTCTAAAACCACATAGAAACTGTTTTGGTTATCTAGTTTTGTATTTTCAATGTTAATCCTTGCCTCTTCCAAAGTATAGACCTGAGCAAATGGTTTCATATACATTATGGTGTGTATATTAAATAATATACCCATAATGTTCATTCTATTGGAGCTTGAGAAAAAATATACATATACACAATAATGATTTTGTACACCCAATCTTTTGTAATGCCACCCAAATATTTATTTGTGTTTGATGCAAACAGTGCAGTTTATAAGACAGTAATTGTCATAAGCCCCATTTAAAACAATTCACTCTTTTTTCAATGAAATTTCAAATCGATATCTTGAGTAAAGGGTCTCTGCTATTTAAGTCTATTACTACTCTATCGTAATATAAAGCCACAAATTAAAGGGTTTTAAAGGTAATGACACAGTCTTATCAATTTCTCTTTCATTCGTTAAATGTTTATTCCATGATTGTCTCAACTTAATGGAAAGATAATATGACTAGTTTGAAACCAGTTAGGCTTTTGACATACATCTGTGGAACTGGCGGATTTACGTGAATTTTTAGAAATGTGGTAATGTTTATATGTAGTGGAATTGCATAACAGAATAAATCTTTTTATTTCTATTTATCATAATATAATATTTAGCTTTTATGGGACAATGTGATTACTTTTTAATTAAACTTTTATTTTTGCCATGATCTGATACCTTTCTCTAAAAGTGCCCATTATTTAATAATAGTAGCCAATCTAGATAGATCTAGAAAGACACACTGCTAGAATCTAAAAATATATATTTTCTCTTCCATCATGTCATCTTTAATGATGAGCAGCACACCACTAGCATTTTGAGTTGTCCCTTTCTTTGGTGTACCACTGGTTTTCACAATGTGGATGATATGTTACAGTAAGATCAGTAGAGATGGTAATTATGCCTTTCTTTTGTGAAGGAGGAGAAGGGATCTTTGAAAGTGAAGGCTGGAAAGAGAACCTGTCTAACTCCTCAACCTGGCATTTCCTCAAGAAAATGTTAGCGAAGAAAACAAAGGAACAAGGAGGATCTGGAAGTTATTTCCTTAAAACTAACTTTATAACCCTACAAAAGTCTCTGCATCCCAGAGTGTGCCCCCCTGCTGAAGCCCATTGTCTTAGACTATGGTTCTCTTAACAAGCCATACAAATCTCTATGAAGGTTAGAATTGCATTGTTTTGTAAATATTATTTATAGAACTGATAAGCCTCTAGCCAATGTAATTATAAGTTTCTTGAAAGCATAATTTTGTATAGTTCTTTCTCGATTCACCATCATATAATAGGGTTCCATGACTCTTAGTAGGCATTGAATATTTTTAACGATTTGGATGAATTTTTCAGTGTTCATGCAAATGTTTGTAAACAGAGCAAAAATCATCTTGTTATCATTTTTAACTAAAAAAAAAATACACAAATATGAGCTAAGCAGAATATCCCAAGCCTTCAAAAACATGTCCTAGAAAATTTCAGAAATGTCTTACCTTGACCTGCATCATAATTATGCTTAATTACTGTTGTGGAGCACCAGTCTCAAAGGGCTTAACAATATCCTGAAACTAAGTCAGCTCTCTTAGATTTTATACCCATCACATTTATCTTTTTCTAAGGTTAGCCCTTGGCCAGGGCAGGAAAATGTTTCTGCCACTCACAAAACACTCAGTAAATAGGTAATTTTCAAAACCACATATGCCTAGTGTTGGAAAAATGCAATATAATACAATCTAGTTTACTGCCTATTTTCCTTTCATATGGACATCTCCAGATTCTTCCACAAGAAGTTCAACTCTGATTGGTACCAATTAACCACAACATGGTAGATGTTGACTAGTTCAGACAAGGAAATTCATAATGATTTATGATTAAAGATAAAAGCAACCCTTCTGAGTCAACCATCATAACTTGAGGAGTGGTGGACTAAGAAAACCATAGTAGAAAATGCACATAATGACTCCCCTCAGTGCAAGTAAATAGCTAATTCTTTCAATATTTCTCTTCTTTAGAAGACTATAATCTAAAAAATACATTATTCAAATTCAGAGAATCATGAATATCTAGAGAAAATGAAATGCCATTTTTACTGTATCTGTTTATATTCATAACAATTATTAATTTTCTCTCACTTCTTAAACAAAAACTTATAAATGGATTCAAGCAGAAGATGCTATGATACTCAATTGTCATATAGTGATGAATTTTGAAGTACAGGAACCTCTAGAGGTCAAATACATATATATGCACTTATTATCCAATTCTAATCCCATTATTTTAATTGATGTGTTTGGGTATCTTTGCAAGTACATACATTTACCTACTTCACAATGAATATTTATATCTTAAATAAATTTACTGACATGTATTATTGAAGTATGTTGCATAAAAATGATATGGCATATCAAATTTTCAAACATGCTGTAAAAATTAAGCTAATTATTAATTGGTAACATTTTTCAAGCGATACCTGGGTATAGATGCTGATAATTTATAAGTCTAAATATGTACCCAACTTACTGAAGTACATTGATTCATTTTATCACTTTTATAGATATCAGTTCATCCAGGTCTCTGGCATTTCTGATATTGGTTTTTGTATTAATACATAAGTTAATTTTTTTTTTGAGATGGAGTCTGTCTCTGTCGCCCAGGCTGGAGTGCAGTGGCACAATCTCAGCTCACTGCAACCTCCACCTCCCGGGTTCATGCCATCCTCCTGCCTCAGCCTCCCGAGTAGCTGGGACTACAGGCGTGTGCCACCACATCCGGCTAACTTTTGTATTTTTAGTAGAGACAGGGTTTCACCATATTGGCCAGGCTGGTCTCGAACTCCTTACCTCAGGTAATCCACCCACCTCGGCCTCCCAAAGTGCTGGGATTACAGGCGTGAGCCACCGTGCCCAACCTGCATAAGTTAAATTTTAAAATTCTTTCTACTTTCTGAAGAAATTCTGACACTCTCCATTGTATTTCTGAAAATTATTTTCTATGGGAGAAGGATTCTATTATTTTTGAGGATTTTTGTTTAAAATACTGCTCCTGATAAATTTTTAACCTCCTCTCACAGTTGAGTCCCTGTGGCCACTGTCCTTACCAATTTCTACTGTACGAAACAGCTTCTTCTCCACTTAAAGACTATTTCTTGTCCTCTTGCCAGTGAACCAAGCCTATTTTCTTTTATTCTCTAAAGTACCACTAACAAGTGGGGAATGCAGTTAGTGGGATTTTCATAAAGAACTGGGAATAATAAAGGAGGATTATACTGCAGGATAAAAAGGAAAACATTGCCTAATGAATATTTGACTTCTTAAAATTCCTTAGCAATCCCTACCACAGAGCTTTGCTCTCTGGATGTCTGCTTTTTTAGGTCCCCCTTGCTCCATGTTTTGGAAGATCTTATTTACTTTCGGTCCCAACTTCTATTCCAATCTGTCTTTGTCTCTGACCTAGGACCTCCAATTCTTTCAACTGTAGTGTCTGTGAAGGAATAATGTCACTATCACTTAGAGAGAAATATTTGTCTGGCTCTATCTTCTATAAACACTAGAATAAGGGGTAAAGATACACTCACCTTGCATTAGAAAATAGAATTTGTTGTTTTAAGTAAAAGAACACCTTTTCTTCTGCTGCTGCTGCTCCATTCCTCAGAACACAGATGCAATTAAAACAATTCCAATCTTCTATTTTTCCCCATTACATCCCTTAACTAAAGAGTATACAATTTTGATCCATGTGATTATAAGGAGCACATATTTGGTATTATTACTAAGAAGCTTTCTGTATTAATAATGCATATTTTTAGCTCACACTTTTACAATTTAATTTATACAAACCTTTCTACAATTCAGTCATTTCTCTTTATATTGATGTCTTGAATAGAACTGACCAAGTTTATGTTTCAATGAATAAAATTTTGAAATTGAAAAATAATACACTTTTTGAAACTATCTAGGTGGAGAAGTAACATGAAAAGGATTTTTTAAAAAGAAGCTACTTCCATGTCCTGAAAACCTGGAGTAATATTTAATGTAGAGTAATTGTGTAGAAAATTTTCTAGTACCAATAAGTACCCATTTATGAATATGTGGGTCCATTCCCAACACTGGAGCAATTCCAGTACCTGTTTTCACTAATTGTACTCCCAAATTCCAAATCACTGTGTAGAAATTAATTCTACTAGGTAATTAACTCCAGGTCAATTTATTCTCTTTAAAATCAGTTGGATGGAAATGTTCCTTGGTAGTTCTTTTTATTTATGTTTTCTTACCAATCTCATTATTCTTCATAGACAAGTTTCTTCAGAGAAACACTTTGTCATGGTAACTGTAGTATACTTTAAAACACTTTGTCAGGCTATTGATATAAGTGCATTTATTCATTCAAATATTACATTCTATGGGCCAGGCACAGAGGCTCACGCCTGTAATCCCAGCTCTTTGGGAGGCCGAGGCGGTGGATCACGAGGTCAGGAGATCGAGACCATCACAGCTAACATGATGAAACCCCGTCTCTACTAAAAATACAAAAAATTAGCTGGGCGTGGTCGCGGGCACCTGTAGTCCCAGCTACTCGGGAGGCTGAGGCAGGAGAATGGCGTGAACCCGGGAGGCAGAGCTTGCAGTGAGCCCAGTGAGCCAAGATCATGACACTGCACTCCAGCCTGGGAGACAGCAAGACTCCGTCTCAAAAAAAAAAAAAAAAATATATATATATATAACATTTTATGGACATGAGTGGCTCTAATCAGTAAATGTACACTATTAGATGGGGAGGTCAACTAGCATTTAGCCAGAAAGGCTGCCCTCCAAGGCAGCTACCACAGGACCTTCAGTTATCTACCTCTTGGTCAACATCTGATGCCTAGCCAACTCACATAATAATTGAGGTTTAAATCAGTTATCATCCTGAAATTAGTGGTACCAAATATATGAGGGTCATCTAACATATTTTAGAAACATTCCCTATTCTTCTATGAAGGGCATAAGAACCTAGCAAGATGTGTAGCCTAAACTTTAGGGGTAGTGCCCAAGACTTGTTCCCTAAATGGGCCTGTGTCCTACTATGGATAAGTTCCACTTTCTCAATGCTGACATGAAAGTAAAACCCTACCTCTGTTGTCTTATCTTCTTCAAATACACCTTTCTACAAGGTACTTTGGAGTATTTTAAAGGGCAGAGAGCTGAGGATTTATTAAATTTACAGAGCAGATGACATAAACTGTCTTATGCTAATGTCTGGTTAACTAATCTCTATATTCATGGCAGAATTTGATCAGAGTCATTTTCATCATAACTGGGACATAGGATTGTGGTGGTAAATGCTAACCATACGCCCACTTCACCTTTTTCAGCCACTATGATTAACTACCAAAAATGACCCTGTTGCTGAGCATGACCAAATTGGGTTAGGCTAGTTCAAAACACACTCTATTTTTCTCATTAGACACTATTCATTACTTCTTAATTTGTTGCACCTTGCTTTTAGTCCCTCTGAACTAAAATGCTTAAGAGCAAATATCAACTAGAGTTTCTACTCTGTTGTTTTACATTAGCTGAAAAATACAGGTATATCCCCCAAAAAATAAGAAGAAAGAAAACTATCATTATTTTAAGATAACAGAATCCACTCCATTTTTAACACAAAAAAATTATGTTATTAGAAATCCCTATAGACTCCGTGAAAAAGAAATATACAGAATAAATATTTAAAATCTTCTGCACAGCAAAAGAAACTACCAACAGATTAAACAGACAACCTACAAAATAGGAGAAAATATTTGCAAATTAAGCATCCAACAAAGGTCTAATATCCAGAATCTATAAGAAATTTAAACAAATCAACAAGCAAAAACAACCCCATTTAAAAATGAGCAAAGACATGAACCAACACTTCACAAAAGAAGACATACGCATGTCCAACAAGCATATGAAAACATGCTCAGTATCACTAATCGTTAGGGAAAGGCAAATCAAAACCACAATGAAATACCATCTCACACCAGTCAGAATGGACATTATTAAAAAGTCAAAAAATAACACGTTAGTGAGGTTGCAGAGAAAATGGAATACTTACACACGGCTGGTGGGAATTTCAATTAGTTCAGCCACAGTGGAAAACAGTTTAGAGATTTCTCAAAGAACTCAGAACTACCATTTGACCTAACAATCCCATTACTGGGTATATACCCAAAGAAATAAAAATTGTTCTACCAAAAAGACACATTCACTCGCATGTTCATCACAGCACTATTCACAGTAGCAAAGACATAGAATCAATCTAGATGCCCATCAGTGGTGGACTGGATAAAGAAAATGTGACATATATACACCACAGAATACTATGCAACCATAAAAAGAATGAAATCATGTCCCTTGCAACAGCATGGATGGCAGCTGGAGGCCATTATCCTAAGTGAATTAATGCAAAAACAGAAAACCAAATACCACATGTTCTCACTTATAAGTATGAGCTAAACATTGAGTACACACAGACACAAAGAGGGGAACAACAGACACCTGGGCCTACCTGAGGGTGGCAGGAGGAAGGAGGGTGAGGATTGAAAAACTACTTATTGGGTACTATGCTCACTATCTGGGTGACAAAATGATTTGAACACCAAACCTCAGCAACACACAATTTACTCAAGTAACAAACCTGCATATGTACCCCTAAACCTAAAATAAAAGTTAAAAAAAAAATTTAATTTAAAAAATACATATATAGCTCTAACAACAATAAGCAATGAGCAATTAAATAAAATGATATCAATAAAGATGAACTTAACATATGTTGAACATTTTTAAGGTATTATTAATCTTTACCAAGAAAAAGGGAAAAACAAATAAAATGAGACATGCCACATTCTTCAAAAAATAACTTTTAAATATAAATTTAAATGCAGACATTTCAAATAATTGTCTGCATTGTGTTTGGATTGTAACAAATTTATTTCAAGATTTATTTGGTCAAATTACAGCTTAGAAGAGTCAAGCCATTTTCATAAACGAATAATAAGCAAGGATTTGCTCTGGCCAGCACTGAAATACTATCAAATATTACTAAGGGTTTGATTTGGGGTCAAGAGCAGTGGCTCCTGCCTGTAATCCCAACATTTTGGGAGGCCTAGGCAGGAGGATAGCTTGAACTCAGGAGTTGGAGACCAGCCTGGGCAACAGAGTGAGACACCCCTGTCTCCACAAAAAACAAACAAATAGCCGGGCGTGGTGGCCTGTGCCTGTAGTCCCCGCTACTCGGGAGGCTGTAGTGGGAGGATTACGTGAGCCTGGGAGGCCGAGGCTGCAGTGAACAGAGATTGTGCCACTGCATTCCAGTCCGGGTGACAGAGTGAGGCTCTGTCTCAAAAAAGAAAAAGAGTTTGATTTGCATATGATTGAAACAACATTGCCTCAAAACAGACCCTAGTGTGTTTTACATTACAACAGTAAATATGAAAAGAATGACATTACAAATTAGTGTGTGATGAAGGCCTATTTGTTGACCAGCGTGAGAAAACTGATGAAAGATCTAGAAATAAAATTTGTCAGTAAAAACAATACCTAAAAAACATACATTATTATAAATTTTAAATTGATTAAAAAATATAGAGAGTTCCAGCAGAGATCCCAGGCCTGAAGCAGCGGCGAACCTGTCTTCCCCACCCCACCTCGGTGACCTGGTGGCCGCCGGCACACAGCACCTTTGGATGGCCGCGGGTGTGCCGGGCGGGAAGAAACACGCAGAGGCTGCTGGGGTGCAGGGCCCGCGAAGGCGGAGTTAGGGAGAGGCCTGGCCTCCTCTTTAGGCCACGGCGCCGCGCAGATGCTGTCCTCGGGGGACCTCTCTGTCCCAATTGGGTGAGACCTACCTGGTCCTGATGACAACAGACAACAGCCTTAACGGCCGGAAGGTCAGCGAAGTCCCGGATGAGGACGGGTGGAATGGTAGCGACCATGGGGCAGTTGGCCTTCCTTCTACCAGACGTTGATGTGGGAAAAGAGAAACGGAGTAACAGGACACATTTAGCGATTTGGAGATTCCCATCACGCTTTGGGAGGATGTACCGGCGTTTATAGGAGACCTGCGTGTATAATGTGAGAAAGCTGCTCTCAGCTTCCCCCAAAACTTTTACAAGGAAACATTTGCCACATCTAGCCTTTCCAGATGTATAGAGGTTACCGACCTATGATAGAGTTAGAAAATCACACATGGAATTTTTTAAATTCCATATTACAGAGTAGGTAATCAGTATGTAATTGTATCAGTGGATTACAAAATCTGGAGATTATATTCTGAGAATCTATTTTTGCCAACACAATAAGAGCCATATATTACAAGCCCACAGCTAATATCATAATGATAAAAAGTTGAAAGCTTTCCCTCTAAGATCCAGAACAAGATAAAGATGCCCACGCTCACCACTTCTGTTCAACATAGTACTGAATGTCCTAGCCAGAGCAGTTAGGCAAGAAAAAGAAAAAAAGGCATACAAATTGGAAATGAAGAAGTGAAACTGTCTCTTCTGATGACATGATCCTTTATTTGGAAAACCCTAAGAACTCCAACAACAAAAAAAGCTATTCAAATAAACAAATTCAGTAAAGTTACAGGTTACAAAATCAATATGCAAAAATCAGTAGTGTTTCTATGCACTAACAATCATCTGAGAAGAAATTAAGTAAACAATCATAATTAAAAAATAAATTAATTAAAATAAC
Source organism: Homo sapiens (assembly GCF_000001405.40). Lineage (NCBI taxonomy): Eukaryota > Metazoa > Chordata > Mammalia > Primates > Hominidae > Homo > Homo sapiens. Next base: position 300,947 of record NT_167247.2, on the reverse strand, counting down.
TAGGTGCAAATTTAACCGAGGAGGTGAAAGATTTGTACACTTGAAAACTATAAAACACTGATATTTAAAATTACAAAAGACACAAAAATTGAAAAATACCTCATGTTCATGGATTGGGAAAATTAGTATTTTTAAAATACCTATACTACCCCAAATAAAGATTCAATGCAATCTCTATCCAAGTACCAATGTCATTTTGTAGAGAAATAGAAAAAACGATTCTAAAATTTGTCTGGATCCACAAAAATCCATAGCCAAAGTAACCTTGAATCAAAAAACAAACAAACAAAAAAAAATGGGAGGCATCATAATACCTGGCTTCAAAATCTACTGTGAACCTATAGTCATCAAAACAACAGGACACTGGCATAAAAACAGACACAAAAACCAATGGAACAAAATAGCGTAAAAATCAATCCATACATTTACAATCAATTGATTTTCAACAAAGGTGCCAAGAACACACAATGGGGACAGGGCAGTCTCTTCAATAAACGGTGTTGAAAAACTGAATATCCACATGTTGAAGAACGAAATTACATGCATACCTCAAACCATATACAAAAATCAACTCAAAATGCATTAAAGACTTAAACATAAGACTATTAAACTACTAAAAGAAATCATAGAAATGCTCCATGACATTGATCTGGTCAATGATTTTTTGGATATGACCTCAAAAGCACAGTCAACAAAAGCAAATATAAATAAATGAGATTATATCAAATTAAAGAGCTCCTGTACAGTCAGGGAAACAAATAAAATAATGAAAAGACAACCTATGGAGTGGGAGAAAATATTTGCAAATGATGTATCTAATAAGGGGCTAATATCTAAAATATATAAGAAGCTCAAACAAGAAAACATAATTCTATTTTAAAATGGAGCTGGCTGTGTTGGTTCACATCTCTAATCTCAGAATTTTGGGAGGCCAAGATGGGTGGATCACTTGAGGTCAAGAGTTCGAGACCAGCCTGGCCAACATGGTGAAACCCCGTCTCTACTAAAAATAGAAAAATTAGCTAGGCATGGTGGTACGTGCCTCTAGTCTCAGCTACTCAGGAGGCTGAGGCACAAGAATCACTTGAACCTGGGAGGTGGAAGCTGCAGTGAGCCGAGATTGTGTCACTGCACTCCAGCCTGGGAGACAGAGAGAGACTCCATCTCAAAAATAAAAATAAAAAATAAAATAAAATAATTTAAAAATTTTAAAAATGAAAATAAAAATGGGCAAAAGACCCAAATACACATTTCTCAAAAGAAGACCTACAAATGGCCAACATGTATATGAAAAATGCTCAACATCACTAATCAATGGGGAGATGTAAATTAAATGCACAGTGAGATATCACTTCATACTCTTAGAATGGCTATTGTCATAAAAAGCAAAGATAACAGCTTGGTGAGAATGTAGGGAAAAAAAGGAACCCTTGCACACCGTTAGTGGGAATGTACATTAATACAGCCACTATATAAAACAGTGTGGAGGTTACTCCAAAAATTAAAAATAGAACTACCATATGATCCAGCCATCCCACCACTGGGTATATATCCAAGGAATTGAAATCAGTATGTTAAAGAGATGTCTGCACTCCCATGTTTATGGCAGCATTATTCACAATAGCAAAGATATGGAATCAAACTTTGTGTTCATCAATGAATGAATAAATCAAGAAAATGTGGTGTACTATTCACTCGTAACAAAAAAAGGAAACCCTGTCATTTCCAACAACACGGATGAACCTAGAAGCTATGATGTTAAGTTAAATGAGCCAGTTACAGAAAGGCAAATACTACATGATCTCATTTAAATGAGGATCTGAAAAACTTAAACTCATAGAAGCAGAGAGTGGAATGGTAATTACCAGAAGCTGGGGATGGTGGTAAGTTTCCAGACCATAAATTGAGGGATAAGCTCCAGAGTGTTCATACTATTTTTAATTTGCTGAAAATAGAACGATGATAATAATTCATAAACCTAGAATTATGATTATCCCATAAATTTTTTAAAACTAAATATTTTGTCCTATAGACACAACACCTACATAACTTAATTTATCCAATTTTGATCTTACCAATTGAATAAACCAAATTTCAAGTAAATATGTTCATTTTTATATAGTTTACATCATATATTCATTTTTCAATGTAAATTTAATATAATATATAATTAATCTCCAAATTTTTAAATTTAAAAACTTAAAAAGAAAAAGAAAAGATGAAACCCAACGTCTTTTTTTTTTTTTTTTTTTTTTTTTTTTGAGACAAGAGTTTCGCTCGTTTCACAGGCCGGAGTGCAATGGCGCAATCTCGGCTGACCGCAACCTTCGTCTCCCAGGTTCAAGTGATTCTCCTGCCTCAGCCTCCTGAGTAGCTGGGATTACAGGCATGCACCACCATGCCCGGCTAATTTTTTGTTTTTAGTAGAGACGGGGTTTCTCCACATTGGTCAGGCTGGTCTTGAACTCCTGACCTCAGGTGATCCACCCGCTTTGGCCTCCCAAAGTGCTGGGATTACAGGCATGAACCACTGTGCCTGGCCGAAACCTAATGTGTTAAGAGAACTTTTCATGAAATTATTATTTGGATATGCCTCTGACCACAGTCATAGCTTTACTTAATCACCTCTGTGGGGCATCAGTCCTCAAGGTCTAAACCATATCAACATAGGTAGCCTTTAGAGCTGTAAATAAATACTTCCCTGCTACATGTTAATGATTCTTGGAATATACATTGACCAACACAGTGTTCTCCTTGTTTAATTAGGCAAAAATCTAGCTGTAAATATGAATAACAAGAGTATACATTAAAAAGACATCAAATAGCCAACCGAAAATATATTTAACCAAACCTAATTAAGGATTTTCACCAGTCCCACATTTAGTTTACTTCCAATATCCACATTAAATAGAGACTTCTATTAAATCTTATTTCAGCTGTTGCATTTAAGTGTGAATGGCACTGTAGTGTCAGTATGACCAGTGGTTAATCCAATTCTTCAGGGCATTAGTAACTCATCCAACAAGAATTTTTTTCTAATTTATTAATTAAATGAAGAAACGTCATAATGGGAACATGGGTATGTTTGGACTACATGAGAACATGACAGCTCTGAATTCTTCCTTCATGAAAATATATTCTAATCTTTTCAGCTTCTGGTAAGTATTCTCTGCTATCTCTAACAGAGGATGACTCCAGGTAGAAAACAGATCCTAGATAGCGTAAGACTCAGTCTAACATGAAAGCAAAAATGTGAAAGGTATGTGAGATATAAATAATACTAACATTTTGAGGATTAAATATAAATTTAATCCTCAGGAGTGAGGATTAAACTTCAACAAGAGCAGTTAGTGGATTTTGAAGTTACTGAATGCTCTCTATGCACCAAGCATCATGCTAAATATTTAGCATAGCATGTAATCCTCCTCATAGCCATCCTACAAAGCAGGTGCTATTAGAATAGCTATTTTACAGATGAGGAATCAGAGGCTAAAGAAGTTAATTAGCCTGCTCAAGTCCACAGAGTAAGGAAATGGCTGAGATCAATTGTAACAAAAATCACAGGCGGTCTGAACCAGTCTAGGGTCTTACCTATTTTTATTTCGTCCTTTCATCTTGAATTTTGTATGACTACAGCAATATACCTCATGCTTTATAATAAAAGATCCATATATTTTTACTTTTTATAAAATTTTAGACAGTTTTGAAATTTTGTGCTTCTAATTTTCTCTCAATATCATAAATTATGTTGAAATATGTTTGGTTCATTTGTCTCAGATTTCACTGGAGAAAGCAAAATGTTAAGTTATGCGCGATTATTGGGCTCTGAAGTCCATACTATGAAAAATGAAAAACTGAGTTTCGATTAAAATGTAGCATGCCTCTTTTTTGCCATCTATTTCTTCAGCTGGAGTGTTGTAAGTCTCATTTCAAATAACACATTCACTTTTAAATTGAAATTAAAATATCTGGTTTGAGATCCAAAGCTTAAATCAATATGAAAATGTTAAAAAGTATTAAATGAAAAGTCCTGTATTTGAGTTCACAACATTAAACTACATAAATTGTCATGCCTGACTTGGCAGCATTTCTAATAAGAATGCCTAGGGCTTTACGTGATCCAAAGTTTAAAGAGAGCCAGTAATGTCTTATACCTGCTAAAAATAACCAACGTATATTTTAGAAAATTATGCAGATCATAGACATTCACTATTCTCTTCAGTAGTGTTGCATAAGTGGAGTATCGTGCTTACTTTTATACTCACTAATTTGCAGCACTTGACAAATCATGGTGTGTCCAGGGAGAGCAACAAGAAAAAGCATGGTAATAAAAGAGCATGTAGTGGTAGGAACAGCTAACAATGTGCTTTGTCTGGGAAGAGAAATCTAAGCATATATTTGGTAACAGTTTCTAATATTAAAAGAGAGTTAAAAGGTATATAAAAAATTTTTAGTAAGCCAAACTATACAATATTGTCTAGAGGTGCACATTTGGGTAATTAACCTACTAACATGCAAAGAGGGGATTACTATAAATAGCAGCATAGTGGATACTTCAGGGGATAGGGAAGAGTTATCATTGGTAAAAGGCACAAAGAAAAGCTCCTAGGGTAATCATCAATGTTTTATTTATTGATTTAGGTGATAGTTACAAGAATATACACTGAAACTCACCAAGCTTTACTTTTTATTTGTTGTATCCATGCACTGTTCATATAATAATACTGGGGTTTTTATGAGGCCATGTTAAATTGACTTACTCTGTGTTATTTTCAGAATAAAGAAAATCAGCCAGGGCTGGGCAAGGAATCATCTTTGAGTTCAATATAAGCAGCATTGACTAAAGGAGAGAGGCTGCTTCAAGTGTAATTGACTTCCCTGTCACTGAAGTTATGCCAGTAGCAGCTGTGTAGCGATTCTGTTGAAGGATCTCCTATGCAGAGCAGAAGGCTAGATTCATGACTTCTGAGGTTTTTTTCCACTTTGAAATTCATGACCTTTTAATTCCCAACACAAACCCAACAGCAGTCAAAAGAATTTGAGTGAATTTTTTAATCAAAGCATTTGGAGACCTCAAGTCATCTCCTGCTCCTGAAGCTTTTCAGTTCAATGTGCATATTGTGATTCTGCATATTTTTGTGTATATAAAAATGTTTCTAAATTTTAAAGTTACACAAATTTTTTAAAAAACATTCCAGTTTAGTTCTAGGTCATTGCGGTAAAATCACTAGTGTGAAAAATTAATGGACTAAGGGGTAGACAGAATAACAATGACAGGTGAATATAGGTTATCATTTTTAGAATTAAAGATGAACCAAGCTCAGTTCCAAGTGCTTTTATAAATATTAACCCTCACAACATCCCTTTGAGGAAGGAAATTTTATTATATTTTCTTCATGTATAAAGAACCTCCTACACAAACAAGTTAAATAATTGCCCAAGGATACAGCTTCCAAGTGGTGAAGCTGGAATTTGATGCCAGGGACTTTGAGTTCAGAATCTGTGCAATGAAGCACTATCATTCCTTAGTTGACAACCTATTGCGAAAAATAAAAAAACTGGACACTTATTAATTAGATTTCCATTTTTGTGCTGTGAAAAACTACACCTCTATCTCATACTACTTGATAACATTTCCTTCTTTATGATTATAACATTATTCTGTTCTAACTGAAACACTTATAACAATGACATATATAAATGATCTATCTTCCCCTTGTTTTACTATATACCAGAAACAAATGAGGTTTCTATTCCATGGCCTCAAGGACACTATAAATGTAAAGTATGGTAGGTCTGAATTTCGTGGTCAGAAATTATCAGCAGAAAAAACGTTTAAACTAATTCAGCCATTAGCTCGACACCAGGGCTCAGGCCGAAGCAGGAGGATTGCTTGAGCCAAGGAGTTCCAAACCAGCCTGAACAACATGGTGAGACCTCATCACTACAAAAACATTTAAAAATTACCTGGACACAGTGGCATGCATCTGTGGTCCCAGCTACTTAGGAGGCTCAGTTGAGAGGATCACTTGAGCACCGGAGGTCCAGGCTGCAATGAGCTGTCACTGTGTCACCGCACTCCAGCCTAGGCAACAGAGCAAGATTTTTGTTTTGTTTGGTTTGGTTTTTTTGAGACAAGAGTCTCGTTCTGTCGCCCCGGCTGGAGTGCAGCGGTGCGATCTCGGCTCACTGTGGCCTCCGCCCCCAGGTTCAAGCAATTGTCCTGCCTTAGCCTCCCAAGTAGTTGGGACTACAGGCACGCACCACACCGCCCAGCTAATTTTTGTATTTTTAGTAGAAAATACAAAATTTTTCCCCACGTAGGCCCTGCTGGTCTGGACTCCTGACATCAAGTGATCCGCCCACCTCAACCTCCCATAGTGCTGGGATTACAGGCATGAGCCACTGCATCCGGCCAACAGAGCAAGATTCTATCTTTAAAAAAAACAAACAACAACAACAAAAAAAACTAACTCAGTCAGTCATTAAATATTTTGTCTACTTAGTGATATGATACAATAATCAGAAATGGTGAGATTGATGACATTTTTATCTGTATCTGTATTCTTTTAGAGCCCAATGGGGTGATGGTTTTACCTAAAGGATTTCAAAGCAATCAGAACATCCACTCATGTTGGATTGGTAAATTCCATAGATTAAAACAACTCTGGCTATTTAATGAACTGCTTTTTGTTTGAATTACCTGCCCAGCGCCCAGCTAATTCTGCTGAATGGCTGGTAAGTAGGATTGGACACAGATCGTTGTACGTGGTGGCCAAATAGTTCTGGAATTACCTCAACATTTAACTGCAACAAATCAGTAAGGCTGTTTAGATGGTGTAATATTAGTCATTAAAGCTGTTTAAAAAACATATAGGCCTTTATACATGTAAGTAAATATTAATAAGAAAGATAATTATTTCCTGGCAACAAAAAACACACTCACAAAAAAAGGCAGTGTAGTAGGGAACACCAAAATTGATAGAATAACAACAGTGCCTGCAATGTTGAGGGGTAAAAAAAATATAAGGAGGAGGAGTAAGTTGGTGGTGAGGATAATTATAATTATAATGGCTGAAATGTAGATATTTGCAAGTAAATATTGAAAGTGATTCTGCTATCAAATGGTGGAGTTTATTCCAAAAAAAGATGTCATTTAACTTTTTACCTCAAGCTTAACTCCTTCAATAATGCAAGGATTTATCATGATCAAGTGATGCTTATGTCATAGCTTCAAAGAGGAACAACTCCTCAATACATATGCCTCTCTTAAAATCACATAATTGACTTCATGATTTTATTACTTAATTGAAATACATAGAACAATGAATGACATAGCAAATTAAGTTTTTTCAATGATTTACAATTCAGCCTGATTGGATTTAGCATATTATTAATTTTGGATTAAATATGAACAAGTTGTGAGCACTGGGCCATAGGGAAATGTTAAAAGAGATGTTCCAAATGAGAGAGAGCATGCAAATAAGAGAGTTTTGGATACCCTTGAGAAACTTCAGAGATTTTCAGTTCTACCTAAACCTGACACTATTTTTGGTTACCATGATATTGCCTGCTAGCTTTTCTTAAGGAACAATGGAAACAAGCAGTGTAAGTTCTGGAACAGATTTCATCCTTCTGGGGTTTTCTGATCGACCCCAATTAGAGCACATCATCTCAGTGGTTGTCTTCATCATCTATATTGTGACTCTGGTAGGAAATACAACCATCATTCTTGTATCTTATCTAGACACCCAGCTCCATACCTTCATGTATTTTTTCTTATCCAATTTGTCTTTCTTGGACCTCTGTTATACAACTAGCATTATCCCCCAGATGCTGGCAAATCAATGGGGCCCAAAAAAATCTATTACTTATGGAGGGTGTGTACTCCAATTCTTTTTTGTCCTTGACTTGGGAGCCACAGAATGTCTTCTGTTGGCTGTGATGGCCTATGATCGTTATGCTGCTGTCTGTCAACCTCTTCACTACACCTTAAAATGCACCCTCAGCTTTGCCACTGCCTGGTTGAGTGGTCTTGCCAGTGCCTTAATTGTTTGCTCCTTGACTTTGAAGTTGCCAAGATGTGGGCACCGGGAAGTGGATAATTTTTTCTGTGAGATGCCAGCATTGATCAAGATGGCTTGTGTCTATTCAAAAGTAATTGAGATTGTTGTCTTTGCTTTCGGAGTGGTATTTCTTTTCGTACCTCTATCACTAATTCTTATCTCATATGGAGTTATCACTCAAGCTGTAATGAGGATCAAGTCAGCAACAAGGTTGCAAAAGATCCTTAATACATGTGGCTCCCACCTCACAGTAGTAATTCTGTTTTATGGAACAATCATTTATATATACATGAAGCCACAGAATACCATATCCCAAGATGAAGGGAAGTTCTTCACTCTTTCACACAATCATCACACCCAGCCTTAACCTTCCCATCTACACTTTAAGAAACAAAGATGTAAAGAGTGCACTGAAGAGAATACTGTGGATGAAAAAATCTTCAGCAGAATCATGAATTAGATGGAAAAAAGTAGAATGTAGAGCACTAAAGAAATATTGGCATTTATCAAGAGAAGTGAAATCAATTCATTTATCCAAAGCACATTCACGCTCAAAGCTTGGTGCTCTTAAATGACAAAAGAAAATTTAGCAAGCTTATGTTTTTACTTTGCTTTACTTTGTTTTACTGGTAAATACATTCAAAATCTGGAAATCCCTGTGCTAGAGAATAAACGACTCCACTTCTCTGCAAATCAGCCATTTCAGAGATTGAAAATCCTCTCTGCAAGTGAAAGATTCCCCATATCTATAGTGCCCTTGCTATGTCATTTCAAAGACAGAGTAAGCCACAGCTTACATGAAGTAATTGAGTAGGAAGATGGGAGTAATAGGGCTTATGATGTCTCTACAATCCTTAAACCCTGTGGCTTCTAAATTTCCACAGCAAGAACATCATACCTTTATTTCAAGGTTTTGATTCCTCTTTTACTTTTATTTTAGGTTTGGGGGTACATGTGAAGGTTACATAAACACGTGTCATGGGGGGTTATTATACATCTTATTGCATCACCCAGGTGTTAAGCCCAGTACCTAATAGTTATCTTTTCTTTGCAGATGACTCTAAAATTGTCAGTTGTACATACCTTGGTAAACATAAAAAAATATGAGAGAGGACAGTGAAATCAGGATAAGGAAAGCATGAAGACACTGTAAACTTCATGGTGTCATAAGGACTATGGAAGAAAGACAAAAGTATAGAATGATAAAATTGTGGCCACTAAAAAAGAGTATCAATTTTCCTTTGTTAAAAATGAGTGATCCTAAATCTTGCTAGGCATTTATCACTTAAAAACCTTCTATTCAACCTTCATACCCTGCTGAAATCTTGTCTCAACTGAAAAGTATTTATGAATCTCATCAGTCTATGGTCTATAGTCCTTGAAAACCCTGACCATATAAGTATAGGGCATTATCCCATTTTTATTTAGTTGTTTGTATGTGTGTTTGAAGAAGATGCATTGGTAAGCTTTTCAACAATATAGACCTTCTTATTCACGTGATTTTGCTGTGTCGAATCAGTTTCTGACATGAATTACATAGCCAATAAATGTCTGTAGAATGAATATGTCAATGTTTTTTATTAAATCTCCATGAAAATGTTACCAAATCTGCAGAATATCACAAATTCTCATTGGGTGATGAATATTAGAGCAATATCTTCAGTTTGTGTTAACACTGAAGATATATAAATCATCTAACACCTAAAATGTAATATATTTAAACATCTATGAGTTAGCAAAGGAAAAGATACAGTTTTTCTTTCACATACATATTATAGAATACATACATAATATTATAGAATCTTTACAACATCCCCTAGAGGTATATATAAGTACATAATGGAAACTAGAAAATAAGAGAAATAAAAGAAATTGCTCATTATCTCATATCCCAGAAATGACTAAATTTTTAAATTAATTTTCTTTTAAAGTACTGTCATCTATTAAAATTTGGTTTAATAGTTTGTCTTATTTCTCTCAATATATGCCTTCATATCAGGGATGATATCATCCCCACAGGGGCAAAATTGATTCAAGGGGAGGTAGCAAAAATCTTTGGTATTACAATGGTTGGTGGTCCTCCAAAGAGCCTCTGTACATAAGCAGTTACACAATATAACTGTGGCACTAAAATTTTGTTAGAAATGAAATAACTATAATGAAAAAGTTTGAGAAAACACTTAATTTGGTGCTTTTTCCTATTTGAAAAGATGATTAAAAGAAAGACTCCCTTAGGCCAAAATGATTGACAAGGATATGCACATCCAATACACAGAATTAGTAAACTTCTAGATTGGCAATTGAAAACTGCATTCAGTAATGGTCTTCAGTTTCAGGTTAAAATGCTGGAAATTCTCTGTTATATTGGGGATTTTTTTTTTAAGTTTGATGAAAAAATCATGCCCTAAAGAGTTTTTTTAATGATAAAATTCTTGAGTTTATAGGATAGTATATAAAAAAAGAAACAACTTGCTGAAAAGTTGAAACTGAAATTGTGCCCCAAAGAATAGGAAACCAATAACTAACAGAAATCTTGAGTTTGCCAGATAGCAGATAAGAAAATAAATAACTTGCTGAAACGCTGAAATTCCCTCCATTTGTGAGATAACAAGAGTGTCCAAAATTAGTTGGAACCAACATGACCAAATGGAGTTTGCACAGAACAAGCTTGTTAATGTCACAGCCCGATTTCCACTGCATGTTTCATACTAACTCCCTTTGAATTTGCACGTGGGACCCATGAAGAGGAATGGAGATAACTGTGCATTTGAGGACTTTCTAGACCTCCCTTTTCCTTCCACCAACCACCTGCTAATCCCAGAATCCACCCGCAAACCTTTTCTAATAAAATTACTATCTTAAAGCCAGCACAGGGAGATACAGTTGAGCTAGATTCCTGTCTCCTTATTGGTCAACCTATAATAAAGAGCTTTTCTTTTCTTAGAAATCCAGTGTCATAGTATTAGCTTCTAGCACATCCAGCAGTGAGCCCCTTTTGCCTGGTAACAATAACATAATATAGTATCAAGAATTTGTGACTGGGCATGGTGGCTCACGCCTGTAATCCCAACACTTTGGGAGCCTGAGGTGGGCAGATCACAAGGTCAGGAGTTCAAGACCAGCCTGGCCAATATGGTGAAACCCCATCTCTACTAAAAATAGAAAAAGTAAGCTGGGCGTGGTGGTGGGCACCTGTAGTCCCAGCTACTCCGGAGGCTGAGGCAGGAGAATGGCTTGAACCCAGGAGGTAGAGGTTGCAGTGAGCCGAGATTGCACCACTACACTCCAGCCTGGGCAACAGAGCAAGACTCCATCTCAAAAAAAAAAAAAAAAGAATTTGAGGAAACAATATCTCATTTATTTCTGGTTGTATTAGTTATCTGCTGCTACATGAACTTTTTTTTAAAGAAACAAACAGAACTTCTAGACATGATCAGTATAGGCTGAAAATCCCTTATCCATAATTCTGAATCTAAAATGGTCAGAAATGCAAAGGCATAAGAACGATACATTGGACTTTGGGGACTCGGGGAAAAGGGTGGGGGCTGGTGAGGGATAAAACACTACACACTGTGTACAGTGTACACTGCTCAAATGATGGGTGCACCAAAATCTCAGAAATCGCCACTAAAGAACTTATTCATGTAAGGAAACACCACCTGTCCCTCCAAAACCCTATTGAAATAAAAAAATTAAAATAAACAAAAATAAAATGGTCAGAAAACTAAAAGCTTTCCTTTTTTTCTTTGAGACAGGGTCTCACTATGTTACCCAAGCTGGTCTCAAACTCCTGGCCTCAAGCAGTTCTCTCAAGTAGCTGGTATTACTGGTGAGAGCTACCACACCCAGGTAGAAAACTAAAAGTTTTCATAACTCTGTTGGCAACAAAACCTGACCTGAACTGAGGTAGGACTATTTCTATCTATTCTTTACTTTCAGTTTTATTAAACAAGAGAGACTGTATGTTAAAAGAATAGAGTTCCTTTTAAGAAAAAATAATATCAGCTATTTGTCATTTGTCAGAAATGGCAGATATTTTTTAAAGAGGACACTCACTGTTATCACTAATTTATAAAACCATAGTTTCTTTCGAGTTGAAGATTCAAGAGCAATTAGAACATGTCTGTTTTAAAATATGGTAGTCACTAGGTGTAGCATCAAAAGAAAAACTATCAAAGAATAATAAAACTTTAAATTATTCTTTTTAACTTAAATGGATGTGTATTTTAAACTATTTTTATCTAAGATATTAAGTTAACATTTAAAGTTGGCCACATGAAAAGATAGGTCACATTTTATGTTCTTGTGAGTCAACTGAAATACTGAAGGAAAAAAAAAGTTTGTTTCCTTGCTAGTCATTGTACCTTGCTGGCTAGAAATGTTCCATGGAATGTGTGAGAGTTTGGTTCCAAAATGGCTGCATATAAGGAAGCTGGCTTTATTTTTCCTCCACAGAAAACCTACAACAAATACACGGTGCTGAGATTATCACCAGCAATATCCCAGAACTCAAATATGAAGATGGAACAGTGCCCGTGGCAACAAAGAAGTAAAAAACTTCAAGCAGACGCTGTAAGAATCAGACTTCCAAATCCGTGACATCCCTCTCCCAAATCTGCCTAGCACCAAGCATGTGGAAAACTTCCCCCACCTCACCGCCAGTTTCTACACTGGAAAAAGTGAGATTGAAGTGGATAACCAGTTTCCCCACCATCTTGGGTTCCCTGGCAAGAGATCTGTCCCTAAGTACTTAAAGGGAGAAATATTCCCAAAGACAACCAGAGAAAAAGTGGGGAGGTGGGACTTCCTTCCCCAACCCTAGAAACACTCTTCTTTAACTCAGCCAAAGGAGACGCCAAATCAGCGAAGCTGGTCAGCAGCGACACACCATAGGAGGTATGTTCCACAGGTTCCCTGAGCACGAAATTCTAGCCAGACTTCCCACCCTATTGGGATATCCCCCGTAAGACCTTCTACATTTGGGTCCGGCAGTGCTCCAGTCATTTACTAGGGCCAAGGAAAACCTGGACTGCAGACTCCATGTGATGTCAGAAAGAAGGCAAGACCAAGAGGGCGAAAAAAAAGTAGATGCTGTCATGCTTTCTGTACAGCCTGCAGAACCATGAGCTAAGTAAACCTCTTTTCTTTATAAATTACTCAGTCTCATGTGTTTCTGTATAGCAGTGAGAGAACAGACTAATATACATGACTTCCCCAAACAGACAAAGCAAGGAACCAATGACTTACCCTAGGCAAGACAGTGGTATGTGAGCTCTCTCACCAAGAATTCAAAATAGCAGTTTTAAAGAAACTCAGTGAACTCAAGGATAACACACAAAAGCAATTCAAAAATTTATCAGAGAAATTTAACAAAGAGATTAAAATAATTTTTTAAAATCAAACAAAAATCTTGGAACTGAGAAATATACTTGTCAAACTGAAAAATTTATTAGAGACTCTCGACAGCAGAATGGATCAGACAGTGGAAGGAATTAGTAAACTCAGACAGGCTATTTGAAAATACAGTTAGAGGAGAAAAAAGGGAAACGAATACAAAGGAATGAAGATCACCTAAATAATATAGAAAAGTACCTCAAAAGGACAAATCTAAGAATGATTGGTGCTCAAGAGGGAATTCAGAAAGAGCAAAACTTAGAAAGCTTATCCAAAGAAATAACTCAAAACTTTCCAAACTTAAGAAATATATAAGTATCTAGGTACAAGATTAGAGAACATGAAACAGATTCAACCCAAATAAGACCACCCCAAGACATACAATAATCAAATTCTCAAAGGTCAAGGACAAAGAGGATTACAAAAGTTGGCTGGGCGCCATGGCTCATGCCTGTAATCCCAGCACTTTGGGAGGCCAAGGCAGGTGGATCACCTGAGGTCAGGAGTTCGAGATCAGCCTGGCCAACATGGTGAAACCCTGTCTCCACTAAAAATACAGTAATTAGTGGGGCATGGTAGTGGGTGCCTGTAATCCTAGCTACTCAGGAGGCTGAGGCAGGAGAATCGCTTGAACCCGGGAGGCAGAGGTTGCAGTGAGCCGAGATAGCACCATTGCACTCCAGCCTGGGTGACAAGAGTAAAACTCAGTCTCAAAAAAAATAAAATAAAATAAAAAATAAAAGCAGCAAGAGAAAAGAAGTAAATAACATACAAAGAGCTCCAATTATTCTGGCAACAGACTCCTCAATGGAAACTATACAGGCCAGGTAGATGTGGGATGGCATTTTCAAAGTGCTAAAAGAAATAAAACCGCCATCCAAGATTAATGTACCAGAAAAGCTATTCTTCAAACATGAAGAAGACATAAAATCTTTCCCTGACAAACAAAAGCTGAGAATTCACTACCACCAGGCCTATCTTAAAATAAATGGCAAATGAAGTCCTTCAATCTAAGAGAAAAAGATGCTAACATGCATAAAGAAAATATTTGAGGAAAAAAACCACTGGTAACATTAAGTACAAGACATACCCAGGATACTCTAATACTCTAATTGTGGTGTGCAATCCATTTATAACTGTAGTATGAAATCTAAAAGACAAACCTATCAAAAACAATAATTGCTACAGTGACCTGCTAAGAGATAGACAATATAAAAATATGTAAACCGAGACAACAAAAAGTCAAGATGTAGGGGTATAGAGTTAAAGGGCAGGGTTTTGTGGGGGTTATTTAAGTTTTTTTGTTTGTTTCTAGTCTTTTCTTTGTGATCAAAGTTAAGTTGTCATCTTTGTAAAATATCAGCTGCGCGCCATGGCTCATGCCTGTAATCCCAGCACTTTGGGAGGCCAAGGCTAGCTAATCACTTGAGCTCAGGAGTTCAAAACCACTCTGGGCAACATGGCAAAACCTCATCTCTACAAAAAATACAAAACTTAGCTGGCTATGGTGGCATGTGTCTATGGTATCAGCTACTCAGGAGACTGAGGTAGGAGGATTGCCTGAGTTCAATAAGGTAGAGGCTGCAGTAAGCCAAGATCTCACCACTGCACTCCAGCCTGGGTGACAGAGACCCTGTATCAGAATAATAAGTAATAATAAAACAAAGTAGCTATAAGATATGTTTTGTAAGCCTCATGGTAACCCCAATGCAAAAATCTGTAATTAATACACTAAAAATAGAAGGCAGTGAATTAAAGCATTCTACCAGAGAAAATAACTTAACCACAAAGAAATACAGTAGCAAAAGAATAAAGGAAGAAAGACGTTACAAAACAACCAGAAAACAAGCAACAAAATGGCAGTCATAAGTCCTTACTTATCAATAATAACACTGAATATAAATGGACCAAATTCTCCAATTAAAAGATGTATAGAAGTTAAATGGGTAAAGAGACGAGACCCAACTATGTGGTGCTACAAGAACCCATCTTGCCTATAGGGACATACATAAGTTGAAAGTGAATTTATGGAAAAAGATATTCCATGCAAGTGGAAATCAAAGAGAACAGGATTAGGTATACTTATATCAGATAAAACAGACTACAAGTCAAGGAATGTAAAAAGTGACAAAAGGTCACTATATAATGATGAAGGGGTCAATTCATCAAGAGGATATTAAAAATTATAAATATCTGTGCACCCAACACCAGAGCATCCAAATATGTAAAACAAACATTAATAAATCTCAAGGGAGAGATAGGCTCCAATATAATAATAGTAGGGACTTCAACACCTCACTTTCAGTAACAGATTATCCAGGGAGAAAATCAATAAAGAAACATTGGAATTAAGCTACACACTAGACCAAGTAGGCCTGACATTTATAGAACATTTCACCCAGCTGCTACAGAGTACACATTCTTTTCACTTGCACATGGCACATTCTCCAGAACAGACCATATCTTAAGTCACAAAAGAAGTCTCAGCAAATTCAAAAAAGTAAAAATTATATCAAGTATCTTTTCTGATCACAATGGAATAAAACCAGAAATCAACAAGAGGAACCTTGGAAACTATACAAACACATGGAAATCAACATGCTCCTACAACCAATGGGTCAATGAATAAGCTAAGAAAATTTTAAAAATTTCATGAAACTAGTGAAAATAGATATACAACATACCGAAGCCTACAGAATACAGCATAACAATATCTTTATAGCAATAAACACCTACATCAAAAAAGGGAAAAGACTTCAAATAATCAACCTAAAAATGGATCTCAAGGAACTCAAAAAAGCAAGGATGAACCAAATCCAAAATTAGTAGAAAGAAATAAATATCAGAACAGACATAAATGAAATTGAAACTAAAACATAAATACATTTGATCAATGAAATGAAAAGTTGATTTTTTGAAGATAGACAAAATTAACAAACCTTTCCCTAGACTAAAAAAGAGAAACCTAAATAAATCAATCAGAAAGAAAAAAAAAGAGATATAACAGACCACAAAAATACAAAGAATCAGAGAATATGAACAACTATACACCAACAAATTGGAAAACATAGAAAAAATGGATAAATTATTAAACATATACAACGTACTAAGATTGAACCATGAATAGAAACCCTAACAAACCAATTATGAGTAATGAAATTGAAGCCTTAATAAAGTCTCTCATCAAAGAAAAGCCCAGGACATTATGGCCTCACTGCTGAATTCTAGCAAATATTTAGAGAACTGATACCAATTCTACTCAAACTCTTTTAAAAAAAAATTGAAGAGGAGGGTATTCCTCTAAACTCATTCTACAAGGCCAGCATTGCCCTGATGTGAAAACCAGACAAGGATACAGCAAAATCTGTGTCAGAAATCAAATCAAAAACAAAACTACAGGCCAAAATCCCTGATGAACATAGATACAAAAATTCTCAAAATAACTAGCAACCCCAATTCAACAACCAAGAAGATCGCTCATGATGAGTGTGATTCATGAATACTGCATGTTCTCACTCCTATGTGGGAGCTAAAACAGAAGATCTCATGAAGCTAGGGAGTACAATGGTGGTTATCAGGGCCTGGAAAGAGGAGGGAAGACGTGGGATAAAGAGAGGTTGGTTAAACGGTATAAGTATACAATTAGGTAGAAGAAAGACAACCAGAGTTCAATAGATCAGTAGGGTGACTATAATCTATTAGACACTTCTGGCTGGGCGCGGTGGCTCACGCCTGTAATCCCAGCACTTTGGGAGGCAGAGGTGGCCGATCACGAGGTCAGGAGTTCAAGACCAGCCTGACCAACATGGTGAAACCCCGCCTCTACTAAAAATATAAAAATTGGCCCGGTGTGATGGCGTATGCCTGTAATCCCAGCTACTTGGGAGGCTGAGGCAGGAGAATCGCTTGAACCCAGGAGGCAGCGGTTGCAGTGAGTCGAGATCACGCCATTGCACTCCAGCCTGGGTGACAGTGCTAGACTCTGTCTCAAAATAATGTTAGACATTTCAAAATATCTAAAAGATTGCTTGATATATATTTAGATATAACTAGAAAAAAATTTGAACGTTCCAAGCAAAAAGGACATTTAAGTTTATACATATATATACACACACACACAAATTATCCTTATCTTTGACCTTTATACGTTATGTATCAAAATATTACATGTACCCTCAAAATACATACATTAAAAAAATGAGAAATAGAAAAATCAAAAAAAAAAGTTCCATGAATTCTGAACACAAATGTGGCCCCCCATTGCTTGTTATTTGTCTGTTCATCATCCCCCACTTGCAGTATTAAAATGTCAGTGTTTCCATTTAGGGATCCCCTTCTGCCTGAATAATCCCCAAATCTGATTCAAAAAATTAGTTCTTACCAGTTTGCACACTCAAGAAAGCACCTGAGCCCAAGTCCACTACGGCCATTTTGTCACTGCCACAAGGTGGCGCTATTGAAAAATGGTCCACATTACTAGCACTCACCGTCCCCATTGTAATGAGAACAAACTTCGGATCTCT
Organism: Homo sapiens; assembly: GCF_000001405.40. NCBI lineage: Eukaryota > Metazoa > Chordata > Mammalia > Primates > Hominidae > Homo > Homo sapiens. Next base: position 282,964 of record NT_167247.2, on the reverse strand, counting down.
GCACAAGCCACAGTGGTCCTTCTAAGGAGGTAGACAGACCTCTCACCCTGCACCCACTTCTTCATGGCAGTTGCATCTCAGTGAGCCTTGAGTTCGTTCATGAGTGGCTGATCTTTGTTTTCACGTCTTAAGTCTGAAAGCACCCATCTCCATCAGAGAGCCTGCCGCTCAGTAACTCCGGCCGAATTTGTTCGGGTGTGAGGTTTAAGGCCCTAATCGCTGTTCTCTCTTCCTCTTTGGGCACCCCCATCTCCGAAGCGTCAGTTTTTCTTTCACCTATCCGCAACATAAAGTGTTACTAATGACACTCCTCGCCCAGAAGACGGCGCTCCGGGCCTGCACACGCTGGTGCCTCCGGCGAGCGCTGGACCCCAGGGCCACTTAGAGCCTTGGCGTTCGTTTTAGCTCTTAACGGCGACCAAGACGTCTTCCTCCTCTGCGACAGTGTGGGGAAGGGAGAACGAGAATAACCCACGTTTGGCCAGGAAAAGCTCCCCCTCTATGTAACTTGTAAGGAACCTCCCAGCAAGCAAGTGGCGTGTGCCCGGGTCTCCGTTCCCCGAGACGCGGGATCCCGGGCGGGAGGGCTAGTCTATCCCATTTGCCTCCACTCCTCTCGGAATACGTTGGAGTCTTCCTTTCTGGTGTCTCCGACTTCGCAGTAACTTAGAGGTGTCTCTGATGAGAATGCAGCCCTGGGTGTGGCTCTGACCACCTCAAGCACCATCCCGACCCTTCCTTGTACGTCTTCCCGCAACCTCCTGCGGAAAAGCAATGTGTCAGAAATTTGTGAGTTCTTGGCATGATTCTAGAATGAAGCTGCAGACCCTCAGGGTATTAGTTCTAAAAAATGTGTCTGGAGTTTGTTCCTTCTGATAGTCAGACGTGTTTGGAGTTTATTCCTTTTGGTGGGTTCGTCGACTAGCTAGCTTCAGAAGTGAAACCGCAGACCTCTACAATGAGTGTTACAGCTCTTAAGGCGGCATATCTGGAACTGTTTGTTTTTCCAGGTGGGTTCGTGGCCTCGCTGACCTCAAGAGTGAAACTACAGGCCCTCACAGTGTTACACCTCACAAAACAAAATGCAGATCCAAGCAGCTAATAGTAAAAAATAAAACCACCACAATGTGAAACAGGACAAAACAAATTACAACGGCCAACTCCGGTAACCTGCTTTTATTCCCTTATCTGGCCCCACCCACATCCTGCTGATTGGTCCATTTTACAGAGAGCTGATTGGTCCGTTTTGACAGGGTGCTGATTGGTGTGTTTACAATCCCTGAGCTAGACACAAAAGTTCTCGAAGTCCCCACTAGATTAGCTAGACACAGAGCACTGATTGGTGCATTTACAAACCTTGAGCTAGGCACAGAGTGCTGATTGGTGTATTTACAAACCTTGAGCTAGACACAGAGTGCTGACTGGTGTATTTACAATCCCTTAGATAGACATAAAGGTTCTCCAAGTCCCCACCAGATTAGCTAGACACAGAGTGCTGATTGGTTTGTTTACAAACCTTGAGCTAGACACAGAGTGCTGATTGCTGTATTTACAATCCCTTAGCTAGACATAAAGGTTCTCCAAGTCCCCACCAGTTTAGCTAGATACAGAGTGCTAATTGGTATATTTACAATCCCTTAGCTAGACATAAAGGTTCTCCAAGTCGCCACTAGACTCAGGAGTCCAGCTGGCTTCACCTGGTGGATCCTGCACCCGGGCCGCAGGCGGAGCTGCCCGCCAGTCCCGCGCGCCGTGCGCCCGCACTTCTCAGCCCTTGGGCGGTGGATGGGACGGGAAGCCGTGAAGCAGGGGGCGGCAATCGTCGGGGAGGCTCCGGCGGCGCAGGAGCCCACCGCGAATTCTCGGGCATGGCAGGTTGCAGGTCCCAAGCCCTGCCCCGCGAGGAGGCGGCTGAAGCACGCGAGCGCGGCGCGGGTGGGCCGGCAGCGGTGGGGGACCCAGCGCCCCCTCCGTAGCTGCTGGCCCGGGTGCTAAACCCCTCACTGCCCGGAGCGGTGGCGCCGGCCGGCCGCTCCGAGTGTGGGGCCCCCGGAACCCGCGCCCACCCGGAACTCGCACTGGCCCGCAAGAGAGTTCCCGCCTCTTCCTCCACACCTCCCCGCAAACAGGGAGCCGGCCTCGCCAGCCCAGAGAGGGGTTCCCACAGTGCAGCGGCGAGCTGAAGGGCTCCTCGAGCGCGGCCAGAGTGGGCGCCGAGGCCGAGGAGGCGCGGAGAGCGAGCGAGGCCTGGCACCACGCTGTCACCTCTCGGCAAGGCGAGATTCCGCGCGGAGGAAAGAGGCGCGCTGTCCGGGGACGGGAGGCTGGCGGCAACCGCTACAGGGTCGTAACAAAACAAGTCCCTAGGGGAACTGAGTGGAATTGCGTCCTTTAGCTCTCCAGAGCTCTCTAAGCTCCTTGAAGGGCCAGAGGCTGAGCCCACCTTGGGACATAATTAGTAAGCCTGACTCAGTGACATGGCCCTGCCAAAAGAAAATATTCCCTGAAGGAACAACCTTCTCTCGCATTCTGGTGCCTAAGGAGGTGCAGCTTGAATGTGAGACTGAATTAGGACAGAACTGAAGGCCCCTTGAGCCACACTGGTATTGAGAGGGTATAAGGGACTGCAGGAAAAAGGGATGTCAGAGAGAAAGAATCCCATTTACAAAAGCGTTACCATGTAGGCAGGGTTTAGCTTTGGGTAATGAATGACTCAGTTCTGTGGCTGGAAAAATACACAAAGAGGATTATTAGAAAAGTTTCTGATTATTTGGTTCATCAAAAGGACATTTCTGCCTACTTCCTAGTTATAGTATGAGTTTATGAAATTTGGGATCATAGAAGAAAGTAAAAATTCTATTAGAGAACAGACACAAGGGCTGACAGTTCTTTGTGACACCTCAGAAACTGTTATTCCAAAATCCTATTTGCAATCAGTTGGGTTACAGCCTCCTGAGATTCACCCTCCTGATTCTGGCCCTGAGCTAGGTTTGTCCAGAGATTAATAAGTTTGTGATCTTTCTGTCCTTCAGCCTTGGTTTAACTGGAATAATAAGTGAGATGAGGAAATGACTAATAGAGCTCATCTTGAGTGTATGTTTTTTTAAAAAACCCATTCTTCCAGTGGGCTGGAAGGGGTAGTGGGAAACATTCAACAACATCTGCCCACACCAGGCCTGCCTCAACTTAATCCTTTCTCAGCTACTCTTCCCAGGTAGAGCCATCATTAATCTGATTGGTCATGTTCTAGGACATCAACAAGGTCTTGATATCTGGTGGAAAGTTTAAGACTTTGTCTTGCTTTTCCTCTCCTCTGGGCCCAAAGAGCATGAGACAGCTAAACTTGGATCTTCTCTGTAGACCCAGCCATGTTGCTTCCTGCTTTTTCTCAACTTATTTCCTCCATGTAGCTGGCCAGCAGTTGACACAAGCCTAAGACTTAGGACAAAGTTAAAGGCACCACTGGAGGTTAAATCTAGGCTACATGCTCCAACAGAGATCTGAACTTCTGCAAGAGATTTGAACTTCTCCATGGGTGATTATTTGATTATCTGAGCACTCACTTAGCTCTTTATAAATTAGTAGTTCCATTTAGTTTAACAAAGTTTTTGAGATCATGGGCTCAGGAACTAGATGACTTGGTTTCAAATCCTACCACCTACCTGCTATGTGACTTTTTCTGTCTCATATTCCTCATCTCTAAGATAGAAATAGTAATTTCTGAGTCATAAATTTGCTGCAAGGATGTGGTACAACGGGCCTTGCAATAAATTCTACAACATCACATAGTATGAACGAAGGAATGGGAATAAGATTTACTGGGGAAACTTAGAAAGCAAGAGTCAGGCACAAGAGGCATAGAGTTCTCAATCCTCTCATAATCCCATGGAGAGGTGAACCAGGGGCAAGAACAAGCCATTTCACATGCAATAGGTTGGGGCTCTGGTCCTGACCCAATTATTCTATCTTGTCAAGGATAAACTTGAACACCACTTTTCAGTAAGACAACAAGCAGACTACTTGATTGCCGGGCAGTCTGGGTTTAGATGCTAGCAGAGCTGAGGAAGCATCTGAGGACCAGATGCCCAACACCTGGAGACCATGCATCCTATGGACAGTTGCAGCCCCTTCGTGTTAGAAAGTGTAAGCAGCTGGTCTCATGCAAAGCTATACGTAGGTGCAGCCCCTCTTTCCAAGAGGAACGGGAAACTCCAGTTGTAGCTAGCACATTTCCTGGGCAATCTAGAGTGAGATCCCAGGATCATTTCTGAATAGTTCTGCTTATTGCCCCATAGAATATTAAGTAAAATGTAGCACACAATATCTTTAGTACAGTATTAAGTACTCAATAAATATTAGCTATTATAGTTAGTCCCATTTGGCTATCGCTCCTTTTGTTCAACTTCCTTAGGAACATGATATGAGTAGAGTGTCAGAAGTGATTGACAGGGATAAACTTAGTCATTTCTGGGTTCTTTAGCAAAAATAATAATCTAAAACCACCTCAAACCTCACCCTAACTCTTTTAACAGAGACTTATAATCACATCAACATCTACATTAGCCCACAGCTTTAAAACTCATGTGTATCTTTGTTTCCAAACCGCTTTCTAACTGGTCTCCCCAATTCCAGTTTCTCTACTATCTAGTTTGAATTTCACGGTTGTCAGTGTTTTCTTCCTGAAATATATTATCATATAATTAAAAAGTTTTGCTAATTATTATGTTGGCAAAGCTGGGGAAAAACAGGCTGCCATTTCTGTGTAATATAGAATAAGGTAGGACCAGTAGATCCCATGATCATGTGCCCTTTGTAACACATCCTTCACAGTAAAGTGAGTCCCTTGGTCTGAGATGTAAGGCAAGGTTCCATGTCAGTACATCAGACATTGTGAGTCCTTGGGTAGTATTAGCAGGGGCATTGGAGACAGGGAAGCAAAATTATACCTGGAATACATACAAATCCCTATAAGGATGAGTCTCTGCCCACTGCAAGGTATTAATAGAAAGGGTTCAAAGTGATCAATCTGCCACCAAATGGCTGCTTAATCTTCTCAAGAGATCATACCATGTTGAGGGTTCAATGACAGTGCTAACTGTCCTTTTCTGTCTAATAAAATGAAAAGGATCCCAATCCTTACAGAACATAAAAAGAAAATATATGTGTTAGGCCGGGGTTTCCCACCCTCAACTTACCAGCTGTGACACTGTTGGTAAGTTTATTATCTTCTCCAGGCCTATCTAAAAATTGGGATAATGATAATACTTACCCCATTGGATTGTTTGAGAATTAAATGAGTTAGCACACATAAAGCATTTAAAACGACACCTGACCCAGAATAAGCGCGCTCTATTCAAATGTTTGCCAAATATATTTTTTAATGTTTAATATTAAAGGATGGCTTAAAGGAGGAGAGCAAATGGACGAGAGAAAAACAGCCGAGAAGAGGTTAAAAATAAGATGCCTCTGCTGGCGGGACCCTCCCTACCCACCTCCCCGCCCCGCCCCGCCCCAGAGTTCCCGCAAAGGGGCTTCCCCGCTCGGACTCGACGCCGCCACGCAGACCTGCCCCGCGGCCTCAGCTTCCCGGCTGTGTGGCCCAAGTATAGCCCGAAGCCCTCCGTCCCCTTTCTCCCCAGGCGAGGTCGAAGGAACCACGACCCCATTCGCGGCTAGGAAACAAGAAACCGAACGCTTTTCCATTCCGCAGTCTCCATGGTAACGCGTGCTTCGCTTTTCTAGCACCCGCGGAAGACTCTTCTCTTTGGTCCAGCCCTGCAGACACCGGGAAGCTGTGCTGTCTGAATCAGCTTGGCC